>NC_000023.11:148414999-148718030 GCF_000001405.40 Homo sapiens | reverse complement strand
AAAAAAAACTAAGGGGAAATATCATGTAAAGGAAACTCATAGTCAAAAGAAATAATGTATGATCAAATTCTGGGCCTTGGGAAGTATCTGGAGTGATTTTTCTGCCTTTTCCCTTCTTTTCCTCACCACTGCCAGTACCATCATCACTGCAACTTTGGGCAGGTAACTAACTGTGGGCAATTGCAGCCAGTGGTGTCTAAAACAGCAGGTGAATGAGGAAGACCAAGGCTGCCTCTGTTCCTATTGCCCTTCCTTTACTCACATCCAGGCACATTGCCTCCTTCCTGTTCTCTGAACACACCAGGCAATGCCCCTTCTTATGACCCTTTGAATGGCTGCCCCCGCTACCTGGTATGTTTGCAGCTCAGATGGCACCTGTTCAGTGATACCCTTCAAAATTGCACTCCAATTCTGCAATCCAGGTCCTCCTTGACCTGCTCCATTTTTTTAAATGTAGGTAAAACTACAAGACATAAAATTAAACACCAACCATTTTTAAGTGTGTAATTCAGTGGCATTAAGTACACTCACAATGTTAAGTGAACATCACCACTGTCTGATTCTTAAACATTTTCATCACCCGAAAAGGAGAGACTCTACATATTAAGCAGTTACTCTGTGTTCCCCATCCTCTGGTAACTGATAAGCTGCTTTCTGTCTCTAGGGACTTGCCTATTTCTGAATGTTTCATATTAATGAAATAATATATGTGACGTTTTGTTTCAAACCTCTTTCAGTTAGCCTAATGTTGTTATGGTTCATCTATGTTGTGGTATGTATTCGTACTTCATTCATTTACATGGCTGAATAATATTCCACTGTATGGATAGACCATATTTTGTGTATTCGTTTGTCCATTGATGGAGATTTGAGATGTTTCCACTTTGGGGCTATTATGAATAATGCTATTATGAACATCTGCGTGCCATTTTTCTGTGTGGACGTATGGTTTCAGTTCTCTTAAATGTATACCTAGAAGTGCAACTGTTGAGTTATATGATATCTTTATCTTTAACTTTTTGCAGAATTGCCAGACTGTTTTCCTTTTTTTCCTCTAGCACTTAGCATGCTTGAACATACTATACTTTCCTTATTGTGCTTATCATTTATTATCTGTCTCCTCCCTCTAAAATATAACCTCCACATGGGCAAGAATTTAGTTTGCTGTATTCCTTGATGGATCCCCAGTGTCTACAATAGTGTGTGGCACATAAAGGTGTCCAAGAACTATTTGTGAGAAAAAGAAGGAAGACAGAGGCCACAAAAGGCATCTGTGGTGAGTGGGGAGAGCAAGTAGTAAGTCACTATTCCTATGTAAGAGTATATATAGATAAGGCAACTGAGAGAGGGGCTCCCTGCATTTAGAAATCCCCTCTGATATGCAGTTTCAACACCTTGAGTTGTAATTCCTTGAGTAATTAAAACAAGACACTGTAGCAGAGCCATCCATAGTAAACTCAGAGAGAAAATGGCCTGCCACCCTGTATGTCATGGGAAAATATATGTAGGACCAATAATGACTAATCTAGAAACACTCCCCCAACCAAGGTCATTCATATCACCTGAAATAAGAAGTTAAGGAAATAAGGAAGCTCATCTTACACTGGCATAGATTCTTCTATCAGAAGACATTTGTTTAAAATTAAGTTGTAGGGTCCAACGTTCTCTCTTTTGATTCTTCCCTGGGGGCACTAGGAGTATAGTATAGAAATGTGTTAAGTGTAGCACTGTTTCCAACAGCCAAAAAACTGGAAACAACTCCAGTGTCCTCCAACAAGGGGATGGCACAATAAACAGTGCATTATCATATTTAATAGCCTAGAATTTGGGACAGCTGGTCAAAGGATTGAGTTAAAGCCAGTAGATTACTATGACATATAGTTAGCTGAAAACAGCAACACTTACTATATATGTACACACAGACACATACACATATATATGTATATATAACCATTTATGTAAAATGCACCTATGCAAAATAATATATATAATGTGGTTGTGAATACACACACACACAGAGAGAGAGAGAGAAATGATGCTTTGAAGGCATCAAATTCATAGCAGTTTTTACCTACAAAAGCAGGAGAAGGGACAAGAATTTCAGACAGAAGCAAAAGGGCACTTGAGGCTTATCTGTAGTGTTTGTGTTTAATCATGTATTCCTGTATTCCTTGAGTAATTAAAACATTTTAAATGTATGGGATCATCATTTCCTGTGGGAAATCAGAGAAGATGATTGTATTAAAACTTTGGGACCCCTAGAAAATTAGACTGCAAAGTAAGTGTATCTGAACTTGACTTGGTTCTTACGAAGTTGATTAAACAAATTCATACCTATGCTGTTGAGCAGTGAATTCATCCATCTGGATTCAAGTCTATAAGTAGAATGCTTTTGACCACAATTAAAACCTCATGGTTTCTCTTTGGACATATGTGTTCAAATGGCCCCTATCATCCTCATATTGGGATATGTGCAAGAGACTTCTCTGTGGTCTGCTCCCCATCATTAGAAGAGGTCAAGTCTGGCAGCAACAGGAGAGAGCTATGCTTGGAATCATCCGGAGCATGCACGCATGTGTGTGTGTATGTCTGTGTGTGCCAGCGAGCACACACTAGTGGGAGTGGAATGGTGTACATATATGTGCTGATCTGGGGCTTTCTTGATGTATTACTTGCTGAACTTCTTCCCCTTTGCTTGTACACCTAACCAGAAACTAAATCTAGTGACATTAAAGGTGCTAGAAGAACATGCTTACTAATTGCTTGATAAGGAACATGCCTACATTTTTATAAATTGCTTGATAAGAAACTCAGATCACTTGCTGCTCTGCAAACATAATGTGTCCTTTCCCTTGTTAGCGCTTCTATCAACGTCATTCTCCCAGCCAGACTACGCTTCATCCTGGTGTTCAAGGTCTGCTGTTCAAGGTCCTGGGATGCTTCCTTGAACCCCACCTCTGCAGTGACGGCATTCCTGGTTTTTCCTGGCAGACACCATCAACTCATTTTTGAACTTTCACTCTCCTCTTCCCTTTATTTTATTTTTGTTTCTCTGATTTCTGTCTTCAGCCTCATTTCCCACATCATCAAGACTAAACTACTCAATAGGAGGGACTGTGACCTAC
This sequence comes from Homo sapiens, assembly GCF_000001405.40. Classification (NCBI taxonomy): domain Eukaryota; kingdom Metazoa; phylum Chordata; class Mammalia; order Primates; family Hominidae; genus Homo; species Homo sapiens. The sequence goes on along the minus strand of NC_000023.11, from coordinate 148,714,905 downwards.
TTGGCCTAGACCCCTGCACACAGTAGGTATATAGCAAATGTTTGTTCTCACATTTATTCACTCTTTCAACAAATATGCAGTAAGCATTTACTCTGTGTCCAGCACTATGATGGTTAATTTGATGTGTCAATCTGGCTAGGGATACAGAAGTGAATGAGACAGAGGAAGCTCCTGACATTCTGGAGGCGACATCTTAGGAGGAAGGAGACTATCGACAGGCCATTGGCATAAAATTTTGGTTCTCAGTAAATTTTTTGTGTTGTAGCCATGGTATATACTTGTTCAATTGAAGACACTGCACGACTTCCACAAAACACAGTACTGCACAGAGTAGGTACTCCAAGGGCACTGAATCTGACTGAACTAAGCTAGCATTATTATTATCAAACTCAACTGTGCCAAAGCAGTAAGAATAAACATGATGAACATACTGCAGGTCAGCCTTGAGTTTCAGAGTTTTCTATCTTAAAAAAATAAGCATCATAAACTAAATCCACAACATAGGAATGCAAATATTAGTCTGAGATGGAAAACAAAGTCTAAAGGAGCATATTTTAATTAATTAGGGAGTAATCAATTATACATAAAGACACATACCCTAAATCTTACTTTAAAAAAGTGGTCAGTATATTTTATATTCCTGGTACCACAAGCAATTAATCAAAAGTTTACATATTTCTTCAATTAAGATACAACATGTCAACAACTGCAGTTAAATGCATCATAGAAATGGAATGCTCTTGCAGAAGGTTTCATTAAGTTTAACATGATTTACAGAACTTAAGATACATTGCTGGGAGATTTTTTATAACACTGCAGGAAGTACTCCAGGGATATCTTGACCCACTTGAAATTATTTTAGCTGCACTATTACCTGGGTCACAACTGATGGCAGCATATATCAATTACATTGCAGTCATTTAAAACATGCTTCTATGCATCTGGTCATTGAAAGATTCACTTCTTTGCATTTTCATACCCTGAAAGAACCATTATAATGGAACTTCTTAAACAGACTAAGATTAACTCATTTACCTCAGTAGGGCCCCTACAAGACATGCTACTAGGAAATATGCCCCTTAAGACTGCAAATGTCCCCTTCGTGCATTTCTGAGGAGGCCAATTTTTCAATCCTCTTCCTGCTTTCTTCCCAATCTCTTTTATTTGAGAACTGACTACCTCACATTGATTTTTGGACTCAAGACTCAATAAGTGGGCAGCCTTTTCAAGTTTATTCCTGCCAATGGATAGAAGAGATAGAGATGCCTATAATTAGGCTGACTGCAAGTGGTTTTGGAACATAATTTATTTTTCAGAAATTTTGTATGTTGGGTGAAATAGGAAGTACTGGAAATCCTATGCTGAAGGTATTTTCTGTAAAATTTATTGCTAATTATTTAATCAGGGCACATTGTGCATTCTTCACTGCAAGACCAACCTCCCCCAACACTGAAGGTGCTAGCCCTAAGAGACATGAGTTTTATAAAATCCCATTATCGAAGTTTACTATATCACATCAAGAGAAATGACAAAATTTGATGCATTTCTATAACCACCAAAGTGCCATGCAAAGGTGCCTCACTCGTGCTGCTCAAAACCCTTCAACGGCTCTCATCTCACTTAGAGTAAAATCCATGGCCCTTATAAATGGTCTGCAAGATGCTGCTCCAAGACCTGTTCTCTACCTACCCAAAATGGAAACAACCTTCCCCTCCCTGTCTCATCTGCTGCCATTCTCCCCTTTGAGTACTCTGCTCCAGCCTCTATGGCCTCTTTATATTTTTCAGACATCCTTTGCACTTGCTGTTCCCCTTGTTTGGAAGGCTCTTCCCACACATAGTCCATGGCTTGCTTCCTCACCTCCTTCAAGTCTTTGTTCAAATGTCACATCCGTTAGGCCTCTCCTAACCACTCTTAGAAATTGAGCCCCTGAGCCATTCTCTAACACCCTCCCTGATTTCATGTTTTTAATAGCACTTGTCATCATCCTACATATTTTATATTTTACACACTTATTTTCATTATTCTCTGATATCCATCTGCCACCGCTCCAAGGATGCAAGTTTGAAGACGGCAGAGTCCTGACTTGTTTTATTCATTATTATGTCCCTAGAACCTAGAAAAGTGACCAGTCCATAGTAGGTACACAATAAATGTCGCTGAATGCGTGAATGAATGAATGAGTATAAATGCACAACAGCCTCTCTCTTCAAATGAAACATTTCATTATATATTGTATTTCTGACATTTCATTGTATATTGAATTCATTGCATATTGAGTTTTATACTCATTAAAAACTACACATAATAGACTGTTTTTTCTTTATTTTTAATTGAGGGAGGGGTTGCCCAGTCTGATCACTGCCCATCTTTCAGGGAAGGATTCCAAACCAAAGAGGCTGTCTAGGCAAAGAAACACACACTGTGTGATCTTTTAAAATTTGTGTTGTTCTTTTCCCTAGGAAAAGTGACCTTCTTCGCTGTCTTGAGGGGAGTGAATACAGATTTTTTTATATATGAAATTCTACTTTACAACTTTACAAATGCAATATAATGTTATTCTTTGAAAATGAGGGTTTTTCAGGAACTTAATCTTTAAATATAATACCTTGGGTTTGGCATACGGCAACATTCCCAAGGCACAAGAATTCTTGGTATTGAGGATAAACATAGATTCTATACTTCCAAATCCTATGTTTATCTCTTACATTGGCAAATTGAACAAATAGTAGAATAAAATCCTGCCAGAATAACCTCAGACCACCCTTCCATGTGAAGATGGAGGCAGATGTGACTGCATGCTTTAAACCATTACTTGTATTCATGTCTGTTTATTGTGTGTGGATCACACCAGAGAGATGCTCCTTACCAATGCCCACAGACTGTAGCACAGCATCGAGATGAGCAACCACCACCACCACTACAAAAATCCAAAGGAGGAGATGAAGCAGGGAGTGAGTGAGGGAAGAAAGGCAGATACAAGATCATATGGCAGAGGGCTCTTAAACCACACAAAATATTCAGAAGAAAATGTAGAACATATTTCTCTATCACAAGGCATGTGTTGAATGACACAGGATGGGCCTAGCACATACTACCTTTTAAGCAGTATTAGTGCCTCAATACAATTGATGAAGTGCTTCCATTTAAAGTTATTAATTAGGACAATGGTTTGAACTCAATAAAAGAAATATATTGGATAAAAAGAAAAGCTGAACCATATTGCCTTCATTAGCATAAAATCTTCCAGGTTCCCCAATATACTTTCCAAGGGGAATGAGGAGATGCCTCAATTTTAACCAAATTTTTATAGTTTTAGAGCAGGCATGGTTATGCATGAATTTCAGAATACATTTACTTGAAAATTCATTATATGAAACATTTATCCCATGAATAAATTAGAGACTCTGAAATACAGTGCAATAAAACTTTTGCTGCTAGAAGAATTTTTATAGGTGAAATAATGTGAAAATTAGTAACATCAAATACGATTCCCCTTAACCTAGACTAGTCCCACACACAATTATTTTGACATGGTCTGTCATACATAATAATGTAGATTTTCTAATAATGCTAGAGAAAAGACTTGTAACAATTCTTATCAGAATTTAGAAATACATGATGAATCACTGGGTAAGAAAAATGGCAGTTTATCCATTTTACAAAATGATTTTTTTTCCAGAGCTGAATTGGATTCTAGCCTTTGTTCTCCATTAGAAAAATTTTTAACTATGATATATTCAAGCAAAGGAAAAACTATTCTACATAGAGAAAATTTCTTCATCCTTTATTTACTGAGTTGCTCTTGACTCTATACTTGGCAAATTAAGCATTTTAATGATAATATTTGACTATGGTTGGCACATTTAAACACATGGTAATGCAAATAATTTAATCAGGTATAATTCATTACAGAAAAAGGTTTCTAAATAATTAAACAATATATGAAAATGGTGATCAGTAAGAGTATTAAAATGAGCCCAGTCCAGCCGTTATTTTTAAGATAGATAATTCTTACAGTTCATCCAGTCAACTGACCTTGGCCCAACCTATGAAACTGGTACTATTTCACAGGCTCAAAAATATGTGAAATTTGCCTCCAAGGGCTATGACATATACCTAGGGCAAATAAATCATGGTTTAAACTGAATTTAACAGAAAAAGAAACATAAACCCATTGTGCAAATTATCTACATGAGGTTAATGCACTACTCTAACAAATTTTCCAAAAATCAACATATATTTTATTTCTCAATGTGTTTTATATTAGACTTTTTGTTTCAGGTGACAAAAAAGTAAAATTTTGGAAATAGATAATGATGACAGTTACACAATATTGCAAACATACTTAATGCCACTGAATTGTACACTAAAAATGGTTAAAATGGTAAATTTGATGTCATATATGTTTTGCCACAAGAATAAATATGTAATGCTATGTTATTTATAAAATCATAAGAATTTAAATGTTTCCATTTGTCTAAGCAGAAAGATGGAGCAGAAGCCTAGAAAAATTATAAGTATTGCTCTCAAGTCTATATTGCCTATGTGATGGATGGAAACTGCTATGTAGGGAGGCAGAGAGGAAGGGTGCAGAGAATCATCCATTTTGAAAGAGATCCATTTTATCACTGCATATATTTTAAGAGCCTTATTTGTCTTCAGTTCTGTTGTGCCATTTTTTAATCCAAGTCAGTTATGCAATGAGAACAACCTGATCAATTTCATCACTAGTTGAATGCGTAATTTCTAATTGGAATCTTCCTCTTAGAAATTGTGTCTGGCTTTGGGCAATTTACTTTATTTAACAGGGTCTCCATTTCCGAATCTGTTGAGTAAGGGATTTTTCCAGTTTAAATAGCCCATGACTATTCTAGGTTCTGTGATCATCATCATTAAGTGATGATTTTTAGATTAAGTATTTATAGGTCATGAACCTATTCTTATTTTAGGCTTTCTCAATTTATACTAGGTTTATCATTGACTCAGGGCCATTAAGTACCTTTGAAAAGCCCTCTAAAGAGAGTTTATCTTAAAACCCTGCCTTCCAGCAGTTCAAGTATTACAATTCCCATTTTACAGGACAGACAATTGAAGCGAGATAAGTAATAATGCCTTCCTGACTTCAGAGAACATGCAAACTTTGGAATAAGCATTCAATCCAGTTCTCCTGACCACTAGTATGCTACCCTTTCTACCGTGCCACACTATGTGTGTGCACTTGCCTGCGAGTGTGTGTATGTGTGTATCTCACAATTCAAACAGCAAAGTCATTGTAAAAAGCAAATCCTCTACTATGTACTTTACACCGTAATATTTACTGAGTGATTACAATGTATCATACACTACTCAAAGGATTTAACATGATTATATAATTTTATCCTTATACTGTAACTCTATGAGATAGGTACGATTATAATTTTGCAGAGGTGACAAATAACATATTGTGTTTTTCCCTTGGTGAGCACTCACATTAAACACACTAATTTATACATTCAATACATTGACATTTATTGTGTGCCAACGACTGTTCCAGGTGCCAAGGATGTGTAAGAGACATCCTTAAAAATAGTCATTCTAATCCTATCTTTTCCCATTCAAGTTAAAAGTGGTCAGGGAGGCATTTAATTAATGGCACATTTGGCAAGGCAGTCAATCCAAAATTTGATTAGCCTAAAAAAATTTTTTTAGTATTTTATTGAATAAGTTTTATTCACAGAAAAATAAGCTTTAATCTACAATGAATGCCAGATTGTACAGCAGAAAGCAATTTTCTTAGTTTTCCACAATAATAGAAAGGTTCTTACTAAGTGAAAAAGCCATAAAATTATATTCACAAATATAATACTCTGTCTCAAAACATTTCACATGATTATTCACAATACTAATACAAAGAGATCAGTCATTCCGTCAGGTTAAAGTACAATGGTAACGAAAAAAATGCAAAATCTAACATAAATTACATTAAAACCTTTGTTACATCAAATCAAAAATGCAAATTTCTTACTAAATACAGAAAAACGGTAAAATATATAGTAATTTAAAATATTTCATTAGTGATACAGACTAAGAAAGTGGTAAACTCCAAAAATCTATAGGCATATCTGCAAACTTCAGACTTCAAAATAGAATCTTACCACCCAAACATTAATGTAGCATTTGTCTAATTTTGTTTTGTTTTGTTTTGTTTTTGAGACGGAGTCTCACTCTATCACCCAGGCTGGAGTGCGGTGGCGCGATCTTGGCTCACTGCAACCTCCGCCTCCCAGGTTCAAGTGATTCTCCTGCCTCAGTCGCTCGAGTATCTGGGACTACATTTAAACAAACAAGTTGACCCATGAAATCTTGACCTGAAGTGATCCATTTTGCACCATATTACCATATTTCTAGTGACTGTAATATTTTCATTTAGATTAGAAGAAAGGCAAAGATTTAACCTGCTGGGGATTTTTTTGTTGCTTATATAGCTCCAACTGAGTTCAGCTGATCAAAGAATATGAGAATAAAGCCATTACTTGTAAGATTTACCTTTCACTTAGACCACAATGGTACATGTGAGTAGTTGTCTCTAATGGAGTGACAGGAGGCAGCTTAAATCTTTGATTTAGCTCCTTTTTATTCCATGACATAACTTTCTAGCATGTTTTCAATATCTCTAGAATGGTTAAAGTGCACAGTTCAGACTCTAATATGTGCACATTTGCAAACAAGCTCATCTATAATATTCTGAAGATTTTTTAAAGATCCAATTACCAGAACATTTTGCAACAATGAGTGAGCAAGCATTAAAAAACAACAATTGAAACACTGGAGTACTAACAAGAATAAGCCAACAATTGTGGTTGCAAGTTAGTAGGATTTAAAAGATTTAGGGGGCTGCAGGGTAATTCCAACAGTATGCTTTGTTCTTTTTATTTCATGTGCTTATTTTATATTTGTGATGAATCATTTGCAGTTCTGTCCTCTAACATTACCACCATTAAAATTTGAGTGGCCATTCTTTCTGCATTTCTTTAAATATGAGCTATTCTTAGAATAAATGAGAGGCATTGCAAAATTCTAATGATGACATTGGATCAAAAGTAAAACACTAATACAAAGCACGATGCCACAGACAACAAGCCCAATTGCATGGATTTATTGTAGTTTAAAGAAACATTGGTTTGGAAACTGGACAGATTTTTAGTTTAAATCCTTTATTCTATGACCTCAAGCCAGATACTTTAATCCCTTGGAGACTCAGTTTGAACATTAATAAAATTGGGATGATGATAACACCTGCTTCAAAGAATCACAAAAATTAAATGAAATGATGTATACAAAAAAACTTCCCACACTTTTTGGCAAATAAGAGATACTCAATGTAAACCACCTTCCTTCCCCCAAATGACAAAAAAAAAGGAAAAAAAATATATATATTATTTTCAGTTCTATAGTGATATATTATTTTTCTATAAAGTGATAATATGCCTAATTACGAGTTATAATTTCCAAACATGAAAGTGCCAAAAAGATTCTATTCTGGAGAACTTAAAAAGATTAATATGTTAATGCCTACAATACACAGATTTTAGTCTCTACAACGAATAGATAAAACTGAATAAAAGATATCTCTGTACAAATACAGCAAGCAGAACGATTTCAACTCCTCAAAAATATGTATTTAGGGCAACATTAGAACTTACCATGTTACTATCCCTAGAAATGAGAATTAGATGGTGTCTCTGTATATTCACATTCTATTTTGACAGTCTTCTAACAGTCTAGATTCTTCCAATTTGCAAATCAGAGCTATTGTTATGAAACTAAAACTGAAATAAAAACTAGAACAGATCACAACTTTCCAAAACAAATTCAAACCATTCAATCTAGTAAATGGGTCCAAAGCCATTACTATGAGTACAAGAGACTCTGATAAGCTATGTCTACATAGTGAAAGACAAGACATAATCTCTGTCCTCAAAAGAAACGATAGACTACTGAAAGAAGCAGCTTGGCTCTAACACCAGACAGGATGAAAGAATGATATCTATCCTAAAAAGAGAATCTTCTGTTTAGGCACAACTCAGTCAAAACATTTGCAGACAATGACTTTTTAAATTGGCCAATGATTTTTCCCCACTACACTCAAATGTGAGTTGCATTCATGAACTATGGAACATCCTTGCAAATGGTCAGTAAAGCTGAAATAAGGGCATAGGAAGCCATAAGCATTTCAAGTGATCTCTCTTTCATTTTATTCCAAGCCTCAAAGAAAGAGCATCCTTATATTCTGGTGCGGGCTATCACATCAACACACCCTCTTGATCCTAATTTGAACATTCTTGATCTGGAAAAGGAATCACACAGGTACTTAAATGTATCTGGGACAACTCCAATAAAGTGAAGGTATTACAGTAGTGGAAGCGTGTGCCATGAATGTCGTATGACATGTGAGCTTTCTCAAAGTTTTAAATAGCTGAGTTTACCACGGCAGATAGCTTTTTGGCAATAGTGATGCTGGTGGATTCAATGGTGGGAGAACCCTTGACAGAAGCTATCAACAGTTCCTCTGGCCTACAATTCTATTGCTCCATATGCAAAGGTGAATGACTTGTTTTCTTGCCGAATGGACAGGTTCCGAAATGGCAGACATCATGTCCATATAGTTTCCCAGGAAGAACTGTAGCTAGAATGGCTACCAGAAGCACTCACCTCTGAAAATGCAATTTTAATGCAAGGCTCTGAGAAACAAGATTTTGGAGTTAATTACTGGAGAGCACAAATGATTCTTGCACTGAAGTGAAGGGAGTGATATCAGAAGCTAGAATAAATAAGTTAAGGGTTTAAGAAGTGCAGTTGATTTACAGAGGATCAAAATGTACAACTAAAACTGAAGTTCACAAATATTTTATGAGATGATAAGGAGGGCTCCTCCCAAATGTATAGAGCCCCAGGATTGCATAGTTAGAAGGATCTCCTAATTCTGTGAATGTATAGAGCCCCAGGATTGCACAGTCAGAAGGATCTCTTAATTGTAGACCTCTAGTTGATGAGGATCCTCATCTTATACTTGACTCCTCTATGAATCATCCCCTCTCAAGAGCTTCTCTAGCCTCTCTTTACACACTTTCTGTGACAGAAAACTCATACTTCCTCTAACTCAAGATGAGGCACACATTATTGACCACTCAGCCAATACTGGCCTTGATGAAGTTTTCATCAGTTGATGGGGACTTCATTCCTTATACCCACATAGAACAAGCCATATTACTCTTCCCTTCCATTCAACAGACTGTCAGATATATGATGAAAACTCCGTTGTTCCCTAAGTTATCTGACTTGGCTTCACATGAAAAAGCTAAGTCCTCTGCTCACATTCTTCTCAACTCATTCCAGTTTATGGTGCCTTTAACTGTGGCACACAGTCCTCAGTGAAACTCCTGTGGCACAGTCTTAACAGTATAGAGTCAACTGCAACGTGATCACTGCCCTTTTGGAAAATAATACACTTTCTCCTGGCTAAGATTCTGTTTGCTCTTTGATCACTACATCCCATGTTAACCACTAAGAAGTGTACTGCTTCTGCTATGAGGTCTTGACTGTGGCACCTTGACTTTGTGCAATTATATACTTGGATTCCATTTGATTCCAGTTGACTTGATTCACAAACATTTATGACATACTCACTGTGTAAATGATACTGTGTTGGGGAGTGGGGATACCATGATGAATATAATAAATGATCTATTCAAGGAATACACATTATACAAGAAAAGGTAGAAGTATCAGAATAAGAATTGAAGTGGGATATATGTTACAATTAAAATATTTAAAATATCCAAAGAGGAATGCATCATAAATTGGTAAATTGTCAGGCAGTACTGGATTGGCTGTTGAAGGTAGGGTTTTGAACTTGGGTGCCTGTGTGAAACAAATTATGTTATAAAGGAAGATGGGGGCCGGGCACGGTAGCTCTTGCTTCTAATCTCAATACTTTGGGAGGCCGAGGTGGGAGGATTGCTTGAGGTCAGGAGTTGGAGTCCACCTTGGGCAACATAGTGAGATCCTCATCTCTACAAATAATAATAAAAATAATAGGCCGGGTGTGGTGGCTCACACCTGTAATCCTAGCACTTTGGGAGGCCGAGGCGGGTGGATTGCCTGAGGTCAGGAGTTCAAGACCAGCCTGGCTAACATGGTGAAACCCCATCTCTACTAAAAGTACAAAAATTAGCCGGGTGTGGTGGCTCACACCTGTAGTCCCAGCTACTCGGGAGGCTGAAGCAGGAGAATTGTTTCAACCTGGGAAGTGGAGGTTGCAGTGAGCTGAGATCGTGCCACTGCACTCCAGCCTGCACGTCAGAGCAAGACTATGTCTCAAAAAAAATTTTTATATATATATATAAAAATATATATATACACATATATATAAATATATATATACACATATATATAAATATATACACATATATAAATATATATATACACATATATAAATATATATCTACACATATATATAAATATATATCTACACATATATATAAATATATATATACACACATATATATATAAATATATATATACACACATATATATAAATATATATATACACACATATATATAAATATATATATACACACATATATATATAAATATATATATACACACATATATATATAAATATATATATACACACATATATATATAGGATTTCCAATACTTCCTATTTCACCCAACATAAAAATTTCTGAAAATAAATTATGTTCCAAAACCACTTGCAGTCACCCTAATCATAGGCATATATAAATATATATATATATAATATATATATAATTATAGGCATATATTTATAATATATATATTAGCAGGGTGTGGTGGCATGCACCTGTAGTCCCAGCTACTTGGGAGGCTGAGGTGCAAGGATCATTTGAGCCCAGGAAGTCCACGTCAAGGCTGCACTGAGCCATGATTGTGCCATTGCACTCCAGCCTGGGCAACAGAGCAAGATCCTGTCTCAATAAAAAAGAAGATGGAGTTCTATTTTTCTGGCCTATTTAAGGTTGCATTAATAATTATAACTAATAAGTGAAACTCTTAAGAATAAAATTAGTGGGTTTTTTACTATGTGTGGGGTATCCAGGTGGAAATATAAAATAAAGTTAGAAATCTAAGTGTGGACAGGAGATAGGATTTGGGAAGGATTAGCATAGGTAGCAAGAAGAGGGTAGAGGAAAAGGCTGTGAACCATACAGTGAGCTGTATTAAATTCTATTACCTTAGAATCAACCATTGATACGCTGTCTGTTCCACTGCATCAGTAATTCTAAAGCAAGAGATTTACTCTCAAAAACTCTGAAACAAAAACTAAACTTCTAAATCCATGCCTCACCTAGAATAAACCTACTGTTTTAATATCCAAGTTTAATGTACCTTGGGGGATCCATATAAATCAGACAATTATTTTTCCTGGGATATGCACACACCTGAAACGTGGGAAACAGATATTATTTTTAAAAGAATCATTTGGCATGACACCTGTTACCAGTTCATGAATGGGAGAAATGGTTCATGGTTAGTGAGGATTTAGAAAAAGAAAACAAATTATAATCTGAATATCTTGGTCCAGGCTTGGCATTCCTTTGTCTTCCGGGCCCTGTAATATGAAAATAACTTTTGTATGCAATTTATTCCTGAAATTAGAAGATTGCAGTTGATATTAGAGTGGAGAATCACCACATTGTTAAAGGTAACAGGAAATGCTGAAGGTAGGATAGAGAGGTCTAAATGCCTTGACACTATGCCTTTATTAAACATACTTTTATATGTACTTTTGTCTGTTCTGGTCCCTCAAATTCTTTGTCTCTTCTCACTGGTTTTACTATAAGATAAAACAACTGAATCAAATACTCTATTATAAATACTGGCAGATTTCAGCCTCAATTTTCTTCCTGAGCCTAATAGGCAAAGAGTTTCAATGAACTTGTTCGCTTTTCCAAGTGAGTCTAGAGGGGCTTGTTTACCCGAAATCGTATCTCGAGCAAACAGTTCACTGTAGCTGTACAAACAAGCTAAAATCATAACCGTATGCTATTGTTTCTCAACAATCCAAAGCTTTGATGCAGACTGTCTGCCCTTTCCAGTACAATTGGATATGAAGCCACTTTTGTTTAAAATGCCCTAGGAAGATTCATCACTAATCATATGGGCTTGAACTGCAGTGTTAGGTAATTCTGCTGGTTAGATTTCGCTTAAGTGTAGAAGTGACTCACAGGAATCCCCTGTTCAGAAATGACAAATCAGCCTAGTTTGGAGATATCTGGAAGGGCTTTTTCATGGGACACTCCTGACAGCACTAAATATTCATTCACTTGGTGAAGGGAACCACCTGTGCCTGATTGCGGCACTGAAGGAACAGATAAAGCATTAAGAAAAGACAAGAACAAATGAGGGCTCGGTATGGTGGCATTTACCAAAAAAGATGCAGAAAAACTTACCTGGAAATGGCATTTCTTTTCTTTTCCTCCTCACCAATGTCTCTTTAACACCATTTGCACCACATTGTTCCCAGTTATCAACAATGAACGCCATTCTAATGGAACTGCCATTACTCAATATTTCTGACAAGGACCAAGTAAAATTTCCTATTTCCAAGCCATATAATTAAACAATTTTAAGTATGAGAAAATTTAGTTAGGAGTTTTAGATGTTTAGAAATGAACTATAGTTATGAGAGAATCCATCAACCAATTCTAGAGTGGAATTGAAGTAAAACTATAGTAGAATATATAAAAAAAATGTGACATCCACGTGGATACCTAATGAATCCATTATATTAAGTACTTTTCCAGTAATAGCAAATGAATTCACAATAATGGCACACTTAAGATCAAATGAAACCTAAAAATATAAATGTCAAAATATCTATACATGGTTCACACTTGTAATTTACTTTTTCAATGCACAGCAAATACAATGTCAAAATGCTTCAATGTTCAGAATTTTAGTTTAATACTGTTCACTTGTAAATTGGGTTTGATGATTATAAATGGAGTTTTGTGTAAATCAGAGAGACAGATGATAAATTTCATGGGTTGATCACGGCAGAGATGGCAAATTTCACAGTAAGTTACAGACTAATTCACAGACATACAACCACAAATAAAATCAATTTAAGTGCCAAGTAAATTACACTTCAGGGTTAAAACTGAGTGTGTGAGTGTACCACAATGTGTTCCCAATAAAGATGCACTGAAAACTACATTCTAAAGCAACGATTCTAGAAAAATGTTTCTTCAGGAAAATAGTGCTATTCTGTAGAGTATTAAAATAATTTCAAAATTTTGTTTCTATTTTTGAACATCTGAAATCATGGATAATGGTTGGAAATAATGGTTATATTTTCAATGCAGATTCTTCCTGGATTGGCTTTCCTCATTTGGACATTATATAAATTCCCTGGAAATTTTGTCATTTATCATGGCAATGAATTCTAGAACAATGAACATATTTTTCTTATCTATGAAGGAATGGATATCAGAACAGATGGAGGACCCTATATGATTCTTTAAAGTGCCATTTTTAAAAAGCACTTTAAATGTTAAAACTAGTGAGTGTTCCACCAGGCGTTGAGAGATGGGTCGAACATTTTCCACACATAAGCTTGTGCTCATCAAAATGCTTACTAGCACATCCCTTAGAACACAATTTTGTCTGCGAAAAACCACTTTTCTCTAAACCTAGGAGGTCTATTTCAATATTATGGACATGATATAATTGTTCCTGCCAGAATTACAGATTTTTACACAGCTGAGTGGAATCCACCAAGGCAATTTACCATAATGGTGTGGGCACATGTGCACATGGGCACAAAACACACACACACACACACACACACACACACACACACACACATTCTCTCTCTCTCTCTCTCTCTCTCTCCCATCATACCTACCAAAAAGTTCTCACAGAATACAAAGGGCAAAGGCCCCAAATTATGAACTGAAATTTTATTAGGGGAATTCTAGTTAATTTTGAGCCTTATAATCTCTAAGAGCTAGAAAGATTTCCAGCCACAGAAGGCATTTTGACAGGACATTTGCTTGCCAATTAAATTCTCAGGAGTATAGCAACAGAGTAGGGCTAAATACATATAATATAATTTGCCCTGTAGTTTGCACAGCAGTAAATTAGAATCTTGAAAAATAATTGAGTCTACAGATGTTCTTTCTAAACAACAACAACAACAACAATTTTTAATGCTTTTCTGTAGTTATATTCCAAAACACCTGTTATTAACTTCCTCTTCACGGCAGCATCTGCAAAAAGCCAAGGACAGAAGAGCTTATTGGAAAGAACATATCAGGGGAGTGGAGCTTGTGGAGGATGGAGTGCCTCAGTGCCAGGACCGAGGCTCTTTTAGAAACATGGTGGGCACTTCAGAATAGAATCCCCCCGCAATCACCACACACACACACACACACACACACACACACACACACACACACTTCAACAGTACTCCCTTCCTTTGGATCAATATGGGGCTCAAATACTCCCTTGGGTAACTCCACCACTTCGGGTGCCTGGCACATTTAATTAAGCTAAGTAGAACGAGAGCCTGCCCTGGGAGTCAGCCTGCTTGCCTGGTCCTGTTGCAGGGAAGGCTGGTTTGAACAGAGCATCAGGAAGTTGAGATTTGGCAACTTTTTAGTTCATCTGCTCAATGAAAGTGGCCAAGGTAGATAATTTTTTGTCTGAATTATCAAGTTTGGCTGTCTCTGTTGTTGAAATGACCCTGGTAATTGCCACATCTCCATTTCACCAGTCTCCACAACCCAAATATGTCACTGATATTTTGAGAATCACATCACATACCCTGACAGTTTCTCCATTTCTTAAACAGGATGAACAGTGCCTGAAATCACATCCCATTTGTAAAACGATATGTAACCTTCAGGTGAAATGCATAAATTACTGTGTGTTTAAGCTTTTTAAAAGAAAATACAATGGCCCAAAACAATCTAAATAAAATTTAACATTAAAACATTGACATTTGATCGGATATACTTATACTTGCTCTTTATTTTGGCCTTCCTTAGAATTACTGTCTGGTTTTTAAGCATTCTTATTGAGTATGCTGCTATCCAAAGGAAACATATGGCAAGTAAAAATTCAAAGACAGGGACCCATCAGTTTTCTAGCTGTGGTGTCTATTCTGGCAGCTTATCTAAGGACCAACTGTGGCTTTAACTGAGCTAAATTTCTAGAAATTGATTTTCCTCCTTCAAAGACCTAAATACAGACCCTGAGTGAAAGTTCATCATTATCTACCAAGAGTCATGACTTTCCCTACCATATAGACCTTCTTCTGACTTTGTTTTGAGAGCACTTGCCCTCTAGATAGGTGTATTCCATGCTCTCCAAAGTATCAGCACCACCCAGATGGCATTATAGATGCTATTTTCAAATATCACCCCTACATTTTCCTTGACTGCTCTAAACACTATTTGTCATTATCGTAGCAGCTTACTCTAAACCAGAGGATATAAATGTGTCTGGAATCTGACTGGCAGGGGCGTCATAAACAGTACAGACTGAGTGTATGTGTGAATGCATGCATGTGCAGGTATACCTATGCGCACTTCCATATGCATGTAAGCACACACATTGCACATACAAAAACACACTCACTTGCTTTATCCTTCTCTCTGGGTAGAAGCACAAATATATTTTTCCCATGATAAAAAGCCAGGACTGACTCCCATCAATCAAGTCCTGTCTTCCCTGTTAATCTCTTCTCACACTGTAGTCAGCTACTGTACAAACTCCTCAAATGTTTACCAGAATTATGGCATAACCACTCCAACAGAAACAATAGCATCATATAGATTTAAATAGTGGCATATCAGAAGTTCAGATCCAAATAATATTACACATTCTACAGTAACCTGGGTTATTAGAATTTTCTCACTTTAATCAATCACTGTCAGTTGATCTTTCTTATTGCAAAATAAAGCACAAGACTTCATAAAACACATGTCTGCTTACCCTGGTATTAAAGAAGTTCAGCCCTATATCAAGTATAGAATCTAGGCTAACATAAAATACAGAAAAAAAAAAAAAAAAAAAACACTAGAACTCAGATTAGATCCCACTGCTTCAGCTGCACATTTTGTTTTATTTATATCTTAAGAGGGGAAACACATCTGTAAACATTTTCAAAGTTTAAAGCACAATGCAGAGGGACTGGTCACATTATTATCTATTCAGAGCACGCAGTTTAACATTTGTTTATGCAAACCATATAATTGGAAACTCTGTCCATTTTTTGCATGTGCTAAGTATTCTGTGTATAAATACTTTTTCATAGTAGATAAATAGGGTTTTTATTTAGGTCTTATCACCTTCATATTACATATTCATTGATTTCTAAACTGCCTTAAACAGCTCTGTAGCTGAGAAACATTATGAATTCAGCTTTGGCACCTTGGTATTAAATTTGCATAGCAGGTCACGCGTCGCTTGACATACATGCAAAATTGCACTGTGGCTATTTTATTACAAGCCACAAAAGATATTCAGAAACTGCATACAGCATCAAAAATAAATTAAGATGGATCAAAGACCCAATAGGAAGCCACTTTTTTTATACTTTTGTGATGCCTAAAGCCATTTAGATGTTCTAGTCAATAAACAAAAGTTAGACTAACAATTTTGAGTCTTCCTGGTTTTATATTCTAATTACCAAAGGTTAACACAATTTTTTAAATGAAATCAGGACTGACTTTAGTCAAAGTTCAATACAAATCCACTGTACTATGACGCCTGCAATGACATGTGTACTCTAGACACACACGTATATGTTTATTGCCATAATACAATTATACATGGTTGCAATACATTCAGCATTTGCACTTCTGAGGAGATCTGGAATTTGTTAAAAGTGTATCAATATCCCATTATAAATTACCTGTCCTGGTATTTTACATTCAAATACATTAACAAAACATTTTTCTAGCCTAAAGCTATGACATATATTTCAAACCAGCTATAGTCATATCATTTATAAATGCAGTAAAATCATTTTCCATGTAGAAAAGGCTCAGAGCCCTGGGCTGGACTCTGTTGCATCCTGTATACAACAACCCCACCAGGTGCTTGCAGACCCATGACCTCAGCTACTCAAGTATGAAGATGATACATCAAATAACCTCAAATAACCAAAGTTCAGAATTATAAATTTACCTAAATTGGTTCTTTTTTTTTTTCTAATGGGAACTAGGAATTAGATAAATGTCTCCTGTTGAAGAGGAAGGGGAAAGATTGAAAAAAGTGGCGACAGAAGGAACATTGTATATAAGGAAAAATGGTATGAACAATGGCCTAGGGAAAGAAATGTGCCTGAGGAGATCGGATTGGTAAATGGCCTGACCCATCTGCTGTAGATGTAGTAGCAGGACATAAAGGCAAGATCTATAACGCTCAATACTGATTATTCATTTGAGACAGTAAATCTCAGCCTACAATGGTGATACTCTCCAGTTAGAGGAGAAGCTCTTTCAACTGGAATTGATTATAACCCTCAGTTGGCCATCAAATCAAAGGATTGTATTTAAATGGGGTATCACAACATTTGGTATATTAAAAATTATATTATAACTTCATCCATAAAATTGTAAATCTTTTAACTCAAGGCCAAGGCCTTTGAGTACAGACTCACTGACTGGATTTCCACAACATACACATCTACAATACATGCTCTAAGGTTGCTCATTTGAGATTCCTGAAAGTGGAGTAGGAACTTAAAGCCATTTGAGAAGGAATAGGAAACTGATACCACTAAACTTTTCCAAAACATTCATTTTATAGGGGAAACAACTTTCTTCTTTTCCACTCATTTTTCTTTGGTTTATGCAATACTAAATTTAATTACATAACTACAATAATATGTATGACTGGCATTAACAGGGTTGGGAGCAAACACAACTAGCCCCCACTAGCCATCCAATTCAACTTTTGGGAGCAGAAGTGGCAGTCTACCCAAAAATTGCCTCTGGCCAACAATGTATATATCATGGGCAGCAGTCAGCATACTTCCCACAGGGTTCAGAGAGTGTTGGTTAATCTTGCAAATTTTGAATTGGGTGATGAGTTAAGGGAGTTTCTACTGTATTTGGTGTTAGAGCACAGACTCTCTCCATACCTTGTCTTGTTCTTAAAAACACAACACTGACATGTGACACAAATATCCTTTAAATAGGAAAGTAAAGTTTTAAAACTTTATGCCATTTTTTCCATTTCCCTTTGGATAACTGGAAATGCCTAGTCATGTTACAGAAGAATAAGAAAATTTGATGGATTTTCTATCCAGGCTCTGCTAGAATGGTGCACATTTTGGAGTTAACCAGAGCTATGTATATGAAGATAAAGATATGAGTCAGAAACTAATTTGAAAATATTATTTATTTATTTATTTATTATTATACTTTAAGTTTTAGGGTACATGTGCACAACATGCAGGTTTGTTACATATGTGTACATGTGCCATGTTGGTGTGCTGCACCCATTAACTCCTCATTTACGTTAGGTATATCTCCTAATGCTATCCCTCCCCTCTCCCCCCACCCCACAACAGTCCCCGGTGTGTGATGCTCCCCTTCCTGTGTCCAAGTGTTCTCATTGTTCAATTCCCACCTATGAGTGAGAACTAATTTGAAAATATTTATAAGCCCTAGGCCCTTGAACTGAAACAGAAGTCAGCACCATTTCATCATTCCAAAATAATGTGGATGTTCTCTGGAGTTTGTTCTAATGGCAACATTATACAACATTATGCAACACTGATAAACCAAAACTGAGGCACCTGATCAATAAAGCATTACTTCTTGAAAGGAAAGATTTGTTTCTTTGTCTTGTGGAATGAGTGCTTTTCTAAATCTCATTAAGGTTTATACCTTAGAAACCTACCTACTAAGTGATCAAATAACTCCATGATGTTAGACTTTGTTATTGTCATACTTACATTTGAGTGCTCTAGTTTTAGTTAAAATCTATTGGCTGATAAGATGGCTTACCTTTGGCTTTGCCCTGGCTTCTCTGAGAGATCACCCACAATAATAATTTCTAAACAGAATCACTTTCTCTAAACTACATGTTAAAAAAGGAACAAATTAGTTCAAAGCATTATTACAGACCACCATGTGAAATTCCCACATTCTTAGCAGTTTAAAAAATGTTTAATTTATGTTTATGTATTCTTATTCAAAATGTTAGTTAACAGCCTGTAGGGACCCAGTAATAGGACCTTTTTTCTTTTTTATGTTTATTAGCTACATTAATGACTGTTTCTGCAATTCCACTGCAAAGACTTTCGTTAATGAATGCCAATTAATTCTGAAATGATTTTAAACAAAGGGTGATGAGAATAACCAATCAACCATGACAGTGTAAAGAGCAAGCAAGCTGTTGTGGCCTAAATTTCCTGCGTTGATTATTTGCTGTCAGATGGTATTGTTATTCATCAGGCCTGTCTTCGGATTCTATATACATGCATTACACTAGAGTGTCATTATCTCAGACATACTTGGGCCTCTGTTTCCAATGGCACAGATTCCATCATGACCAGGTGTCAGCAACATCCAAATGCATAGTCTCTCTGTCACCAGATGGGGCCTGACCATACGAATACAATTTGTACTTAATAGGCTCTCAAAAGATTATTGGTGAAGTTGAAATGAAGCTAAAAGTAAAACCTAGCCCACACAAATGGTAACTGGAATGGCTGGATGGTAGTTAAAAATGTGCTTTATGAAGGCCAGGCGTGGTGGCTCACATCTGTAATCCCAGGACTTTGGGAGGCAGAGGCAGGTGGATCACCTGAGGTCAGGAGTTCGAGACCAGCCTTGCCAAAATAGTGAAACCCTGTCTCTACTAAAGACAAAAAAATTAGCCGAGCATGGTGGCGGGCGCCTGTAATCCCCACTACTCAGGAGGCTGAGGCAGGAGAATTGCTTGAACCCGGGAGACGGAGGTTGCAGTGAGCAGAGATCGCGCCACTGCACTCCAGCCTGGGCGACAGAGCGAGACTCCATCTCAAAAAAAAAAAAAAAAAAAAAAAGTGCTTTGTGATACCTTGTTCATGGTTGAAGATAGATTATTTTATTTTCAAATTTAAAATGTAAACATAAATTCTCAAAACCCTTACTATAAAAGGTTAATCAAGTAATTTTTCTAAACTCATTAAATTAAATGACATTAGCAGGATGAACACATAGTGCTTATGTACATTTATCTCTTGGAGTTAAAGCAGCAAAACATGCAAACAAACCACAGATGATTTGGGCACAACAAAGCCAATGTTTTCTTTTAAGACTGAAAACACTAAAAAATTTACTTATTGTAGCTATTGAACTTTATGAACTCCACTTGACCCTCCTCCATCCCCTATCTAGCAAAGTTGATGGACATTAAATTGTATGCAATAGTCCCACACCCTTGAGTTGAGAGTCCTCTCCATCTAATAAAGCCTTCTTCATAAGGCATCATCAATAAGTTGGTCCTAGCCAATTGGACAGCTTCCTGTCTGCTGGTGTTTCATTCTTTTTTTTTATTATTATACTTTAAGTTTTAGGGTACATGTGCAAAATGTGCTGGTTAGTTACATGTGTATATATGTGACATGCTGGTGCGCTGCACCCACTAACTCGTCTCTAGCATTAGGTATATCTCCCAATGCTATCCCTCCCCCCCCCCGACCCCACAACAGTCCCCAGAGTGTGATGTTCCCCTTCCTGTGTCCATGTGTTCTCATTGTTCAGTTCCCACCTATGAGTGAGAATATGCGGTGTTTGGTTTTTTGTTCTTGCGATAGTTTACTGAGAATGATGATTTCCAATTTCATCCATGTCCCTACAAAGGACATGAACTCATCATTTTTTACGGCTGCATAGTATTCCATGGTGTATATGTGCCACATTTTCTTAATCCAGTCTATCATTGTTGGACATTTGGGTTGGTTCTTAAATGGGACTCAGCTTTTTACTTTCACTTTGAAGTATGGCAAGAGGAAAGGAAGTTGAATTCATTGTAAATTCATGCCACATAATAACTTGTTGCCAGGTGAGGCCAGGAACATGCATTCCATTGAAACGACTGATTGTTTCTGGGCAATCTAACTTCCTTTCCTTGGGCGGACAAGATCTGATGTGTACAGAAGGGAGAATTATATCAATATACAGCAAATGATGGCCTTTTCTTATGTGGCTTAGTCCAGGAGGCCAGAGCCAGAAACAGACATCAAGTTGAGTCAACTGAAGACAATATAAGCAAAAGAAGCATATATCAGACCACTCTGGAGAGAAGTGGTAGAAGAACTAAAATTAGACATGGGAAATCATAAGCTAAACATCTATTAAATGTACCACCATCAATGTAAAAACAGGTTTCCATAAGATGCAAAGGATATTCATATTTGTCCAGATGAACACGTCCATGGTGTGTTCCAAGTGTCCCAGATCCCTGCCTCTTTCTGAGCAGAAACACTAATTCTTTCATCTTCTGGGAGAGCGGGCTGCTGGCTGCCCTCCACTGAGTCACCTTTCCAAGAATTTCCCTTACCCTAAGAAAGCTCCTGACTCAAAGTTGTGCCTACTTCCTGGGGCAGCCCACATCCAATTACTAGTTGATGCAGGGGCTTAAAAACCTGGCACCTTGGCCGGGCACAGTGGCTCATGCCTGTAATCCCAGCACTTTGGGAGGTCGAGGCGGGTGGATCACGAGGTCAGGAGTTCGAGACCATCCTGGCTAATACGGTGAAACCCCGTCTCTACTAAAAATACAAAAAATTAGCCAGCCTGGTGGCAGGCGCCTGTAGTCCCAGCTACTCGGAAGGCTGAGGCAGGAGAATGGCGTAAACCCAGGAGGTGGAGCTTGTAGTGAGCCGAGATCGCGCCACTGCACTCCAGCCTGGGCGACAGAGCGAGACTCTGTCACAAAAACAAAAACAAAAACAAAAACCCTGGCACCTTGCCTCAATTCAGGACAACTCTAAAGAGTCATTTCATTTTCTTTACTCCTTCACAAGTGTTGACCATAAATGCACTCCCCAAGAACCTTCCCACATGCAAAAATCTTCATCTCAGAATCAATTTCCTCAAGAAACTGACCTGAGATGGCTTCATTGATACCATCCTTTGTCTCTGCACACATATAAGAGAAAACCTAAGAAAGCAAATAGAACATGCAACTACATGTAAGTTTTATATGCTTATATATAATTATATGTATGACACAAAATAAATGACTTTATCTTGCCAGAAATGAATAGTACATGATTTATAAAAATTGTATACAACTCACCAAAACTGAGAATAATCATTTTAATCTAGTTTATCTCCCTAACAGGAACCTTTTCTTTTCTGAACAAAAACATAAGTATTAAGATGGCACACAGAAAAGCAGGTCAAGTTTTCTGGAATACTGTGGGTCTTGTGACACAAATCAGTAATGCTGACCAAT
Source organism: Homo sapiens (assembly GCF_000001405.40). Lineage (NCBI taxonomy): Eukaryota > Metazoa > Chordata > Mammalia > Primates > Hominidae > Homo > Homo sapiens. The sequence continues at coordinate 148,692,411 of NC_000023.11, read as the reverse complement.
ACATCCAGTCCTAAATGCTTGCCTTATTACGATAGAGGGCAATCCTAAAGATTTTGCTTTGTTTGCATTCTTGAGGAAAATCATGTATCCCTTAGTAGAAGCAAAAACGCTAAGACGTATTATTCCTTGAAACTTTCCGATGCTGAGTTTTAGGCCAAGATTCCAATGGTCATGATATGATGATGTATTTGAACATTTCATTGAACTTCAAGAGCCTGATAAATTCAGATCAAAATGTGAGACAGTTTTATCTTTTTTCCTTTTTTTAGAAAATCATTGTAAACCCAATTTACTACATGTTATCTACTTACAGTTCTTCCAACGAATGTTCCTATCACATCTACAAATCAGGCAAAAAAAAAAAAGAACATTTTTGCAACCTAAGGAACTATGCAGTTTTAAACTAATAATCTCAAGTCTAGTAGTTTTAGGTAAAATGAATATTTCTGACTTAATTTTATTCGTTAATAATTGTCACTGTCTACAGCTGGGATACAGGCCAACTCCAGTTGAATGGTGATGGTTGCCTAAACAGCTGTGTTGAGATGGATTTTAAGGTCTCAATCAGGATTAGTGAGAATGAGTGATGTAATCAATTAGTAATGTCAGCCATCACTATTAGCCAGCTTCAACGTACAGAATATGAGTCTAACCTACTGAGCATGGCAAAATGTCCAGTCTCATCACATACCACTTTCCCCAACACAGCTGATACTCCAGCTGTACCAAACTACATTGGGTCCACTCACCACCACATTCCCTAGACTTTATTCATGCTGTGCCCTAGGTCTAAATTTTTTCCTACATTTGGCTTGCTGACCAATTCCTACTCACACTTCATGATTTGGCTCCTCACTCACATCCTCCAGGAAGCCTTTTAGATTCTCCTAGGTCAAATTAGTTCTTCTTAGTGACTCCCTGCTCGTATTTCATTGCACTTTGTACACATTGTAATCATGTGTCTCCGCTCTAGACTATGAGTTTCTTCAGACCAGAATGGCAACTACCACAATATAAGATACACAAATATAAAATAAACAACTGTTGAATAAGTAAATGAAAGTAGGAAAAATGTTTTGACATTTTAAACACTTAGATTTCATACTTGCGAATGAAATGAAAATCCTAGATTCTGTTGTTGTCAGTTTATGAATTAACAACCCACACTACCACTGTTCTAGGCATTCTATGTTGGACCAATTCATTTAATCTTCACACCCTTTTGGGGTAGAATCTATTATCATCCCTGTTTTGTTGATAAGATAACTGAGGCGTAGACACACGGTTATGGGCTGAATTGTGCCCCCTTCCAATTCATATATGAATGTCCTAACATCCACTACCTCAGATTGTGACTATGTTTGGAGATAGGGTCTTTAAATAGGTAATTAAAATTAAATGAGGGAATATGGGTGGGCCCTAATCCAAAATGACTAATGCCCTTCTAAGAACAAGAGATTAAGATACACACAGGGGAAGACCACATGAAGACATGGGGAGAATGTGGCCATCTACAAGCCAAGGAGAGAGACCTTCAGAGGATACCAACCCTGCTGACACCTTTATTTTAGACTACTAGCCTCCAAAATTGTGGGGAAGTAAATTTCTGTTGTTTAAGCCACCAAGTCTGTGGTACTTTGTTCTGGTAATGCTAACAAACTCATACAGACAGGAAGTGCCTTGCTGAATGTCATAGAGCCAGTAGGGGATACAAATCTGGGCAGTTTAGCCCCTGAGCACATGCTCTTAACTGCTAAACACTCTTGCCTCTCAACTGAGATGGTAAGCCATAGTGCCTCTAAATGGTGAGATGGCTGGCAGAGGCCTAAACACTCTGATATAATGAAGAAAGGAGACTGGACTGAGGGTCAGGAGACCTAAATGCAGGTGCCAGCTCAGTCTCTGGCCCAACACATAGTCCTGAGTAAGTTCATTCTCTTCTTTGGGCCTCAATTTCCCTAAATGTCTAAATGAGGTTTAGACTAGATGGTATCTATGGGTCCTTACTGCTACATTCTCTGTGGTTCTATGATTCTATGGTCCACACTGCCAGAGAGCGGGTTGTAACTAACTAGTTAACTGGAAAACAAAAAGCTTTTTGCTCAGTTACTGAGTTATCCTTGACTTGGCATAAAATGATTACACATTCTGACAACTTGAGGCATGCTCTTTCCTGATTATTTGATCACAACAGTCCCTCACTACAAACTGCAGTGAAGGCAAGTAGCCTCTTTTCTCTGTAAGATCTATGATTCTAGACACTTTCTTTCCTCTGACCTGAAAAGTCTGGGTCTGCTGACATCAAGGGCCCATCAGTTCAAACAGGCCTTCCATAAGATGGGCTGTCAGGCCAGGCTGAAAATACCTGAGTCTTTTGGTAACATTTTAATTTTATATTTAAACTGCACAGGAGTCTAGGATTTTATATACAGAAAGAATACTTGAGAGATGGCAGACAATGTCAGTCAGTCAAACACACAGAGAGAATCGGCTATAGATGATTCACATGTTTCTGAATAAGCAAATAACTAATAGATTCCATTCATCAAGAAGGTGAAAATGCAACAAAGCCAGCCAAATACTTTCTGAGTATCCAAGTTTGCCTTAACAGTAGTAAGTCAATTCAGAGAAGCTAAGGGTAAAGTTTTTCAAACATGTTTGCATTCTGATAATAGTCACATTCTAAACAGTTATAATATCATTCACTGGGCACTGAAAGTAAAGGAAAAGCCCTCAGATCTGGCAGTATAGCCAATATTACCAAAAGACATCTGTTCAACTCTGATTTCCTGAACACAGCCTATCATCATTGCTCCTTAAGCAATCAAACCAGTTGAATCCATGAACTAGAAAAAGAGAAACTCATTGCCCAGGAGTGGTCCTGGGGACCACACACACTTAAAACCTGGGACCTTCCCAACCACAGACACTCCAGGAGGCCATTGTGAAAATCCCACTCCAAACATTTCTATTCATATCTCGTAAGACAGGCCTTCAGGACAATCAAGCACTAGTCTGAAAATATCTGAAGGGCAAGTGCAATGGGCTGAGTTTTGTCGCCTCCTTCCAAATTTGTATGTTGAAATCCTAACCCCCACTGCCTCAGAATGTCACTGTTTTGGGACATAAGGCCTTAAGAAAGGTGATAAAGGCAAAACAAGGTAATCAGAGTGGGCCCTAACACAATCTAAATGATGTCCTTACAAGAAGAGATTAGGACACAGACTTGCACAGGAAGATCATGTGAAGACACAGAAAGAAGATGGCAACCTACAAGCCAAGGAGAGGGGGCTCAGAAGAAACCAACACTGTCCACACCTTTGTCTCAGTGTTCTAGCTTCCAGAGCTGGGAGAAAATGTGTTTCTTTTGCTTAAACCACACAGGCTGTAGTACATACTTTGTTATAGCCAACCTAACAAACTAATACAACAAGGAACACTATAGCAAGTACAGTCATTTCAGTCAACAACCAACCACATATGTCATGGTGGCCTCATAAGATTATAATAATGTATTTTTACTGTACCTTTTCAATGTTTAGATATGTTTAGATACACAAATACTTACCATTGTGTTACAGTTGCCTATAGTATTTAGTATAGTCGCTTGCCATACAGGTTTGTAGACTAGGAGCAATAGGATGCCATACAACCTAGGTGTGTGGTATGCTATGCCATCTAGGTTTGTGTAAGTGCACTCCATCATATTTCACAAAATGATAAATTGTCTAATGATGCACTTCTCAGAACGCATCCCTGTTGTTAAGTGATTCATGACTATATTTATTAGGCCCCTACTTAAGTGCTACGTTCTGTGCTAGGTACAAGGGATACAATGATAAATTAATTTCACTATACTCCTTGCCCTCAAGGAGTTTCCAGGCTATTGGGAGAGTAACATATGTAAACAGGCAATCAAAATAGAATGTGAGACGAGTTTCAGTGGCGTAAGGACTACAAAAACTGCAGGAACAGAAAAGAGGAATACCTGCTTTGAGAAGTCTTCCCAAAGGATATCAAGAGTAAACTGAGATTAGCTGGTAAAAGTATGATGGCACACTTCATATAGCTGGAAGGCAGTAAGTTAGAAGAAGCTGGCAAGGGCAGCAAGGGCCAGGTCACAAGGGGATCTCCAGAGGTTTGACTTCTTTCTTTAGGCAATGGGTGGCACTAAGAGATCAGTCTGGCTGCAACGTGGAAAAGGCAGGGGTTCAGCAGTGTGGGGCCAGAGGTAAGAAAACCAGCAGCAGAAATCAGCTGAGTCATGATGCTTACCTGTTGTAAGGTGATGGCCAAAGTGTTGGAACTACAGTTTCAAAGTAAATGAGGAAGGTAGGATTCGGTGATTGATAGGCTATAGAACATGAGGGAGGGGGAGAGATTGTAGGTGATTCCAGGCTTCTGGCATAGATAGTAGCGCCATCAGCTGTTCAGTGTTAATTATTATGAATATGAGGTCCCAATGGGAACATCCAAATAGAGATGTGTACAAGGCAGCTGCATATACATATCTGATGTCTAGTGCATAGTAGCTATCAAATACAGAAAGAAGGGAAAGAGATGGGGATAAGCGGAGAAAGAGGAAAAAGGAATGACTTACCATACATACGTCTAAATTATTTGCCAGCTGGTTTTCTTTAGCAATATTTAAATGTTTAAACATCAATGTGTATTAAACAAAGCGACACACCTCCTGACATCCTTGGTTGTACTACACATACCAAAAAAAAATCCACATTGCATAAAAAGAGACTAGGAAGCTAAAGACACAAGCTTCTGGTTTCACAGAAGGATCAAGCAGAAGGGAAATCAAAGGCTTTAAAATAATGAGCTCTTACTTAAGTACCAATATCATCTTAAGAAGTAAATATGTAGAAAACTCTAAATCTCATCAGCTAAATGACATTTGAAAATATGCCCTTCAACATTTTTTCTAGTATGAAAGGTATTACATATTATATTTTCTGCTACCAAATCAACACATTGATATGTACCTAATTGATTTGAATTAAAAATAAAGAAACAAGGATACCTTCATGTGAAAACTAGATTTTGTAATCTGCATAAATTATTTTTTGGACATCTAAAAAAATTGAAATAAATCTCAAAATTGACAAAATTACAGGTTTAAAAATAAGTTCTTGGCAAGATTGTTTTAATAGTTGAAAATGAAACCTGATAATTTGTTGTTTTTAAAAAAGGAAACCCTATGATATAGAGATGGTTATTTGTATTTATTATCTTCTTGTTCCAATGAAAATGCCAACATATATGACAACAAAACTGATGCTTTGCACATCTGAATGTAGTCAGGAAAATTCCCCTAGAGTCACAAGCCACTGCTTAAGCGTTAAAGTATCTATAGAGACTATATCAATCCTTTAAGCTCCACAGGTTCTTATTTTTTCATTTGACACAGGTTTGTTTTACTTGCCTATCTTTCTGTACTCATCTTAAATATATATATTATTTGCTAAATGAGAGTATTCAATAAATAGCTAGTGAATTAATTAATTAACTAGCAGCATCAAAGTAAATGCAAAGATAAAAAGACATAGACCCAGCTCTCCAAGAAATTCTGGTCTAAACAGCACTAACAGAATACAGGCATGCACCCAAAGGACCCCAATAGGAGGCAGCATTCAGTAAATGCCATTAAGTATTGGACAAAAACACCCAGGATTCCAGAAGTAGGAATGCTTCCAGGAAAGAGGAAGAAATCAAAACCTTCTGGAGGGCCTACTGTGTGTAGCAGGTACTGGTAGGCACTATACACATGCCACTTGATACATATATTATCATCATTCCCAGTTGAGGAAATTGACTGAAAGAGGCGAAGTCACTTGTCAAAGGTCCCTCAGCTGGAGTCGGGCATCTGTTTCACTAGTTTATGCCCCTTTTCACTTTCAAAACTGTCCTGCTCAGAACAATAACTCATACAGTCACCCTATCACTATCTAGCACAGAGTAGGTGCTCAATCAATGTGTGCTGATGGATTGACTCAGTCTAAATGAAGGAAGAACAAAAGACAAGGGCACTGCTGCTGCATACATTTATGTGAGAGTCAGAAGAACTGTTGTCAATTACGGCATCTCTCTCTTCCTGGGCCTTTCATTCAGCATATGTAAAATAAGATCAATGGTTTCACCCCATTGCTCGATTTCTGGATTGTCTCAAATATATATGAAATCATCAGGAATTTGTCAGAATAAAAACAATTAATGAGATGCAACATTTTGTTATCATGTTTATTAGTTCTCACAGATTCACTTAGGCTTTGCTAAAAAAAATACAGACTTCAAAATTTCCACTGTTAATATACTACTGAATTCCATGTTGGTATTTGTTAAATAGAAAAATTCATAGCTGTTTTTGCTTAAAATCTCCTGAGAAGAAAAGAAAGAAGAAAAATGGTTACAGATAGGAGTGTGTGTATATGTATGTATGTGTGTGTGTGTGTCTGTGTGTGTGAGAGAGAGATAGAGAGAGAGAGAGAAAGAAAGAAAGAGATTGAGACAGAGAGAAAGAGAGAGACAATGTAATATATTTTCACCTGGACACATTCTATGTCAAAGCCCTGAAAATTTACAAAAGAGATAAATAGACCGGTAATTTTAAAAAAAATGAAGATTAAGTGATATTTTGATACGGGTCTGGGAGGTAGCTATGCAGAAAACGGGAGATATTTGGAAATTCTGAACATTAGATTCTGAAACTATTACATATACATGAACATTGGCTCCTAAATGGTTCCTATCTACAATAGTATTTCACCAGAATCATTGTTGTTTATTATGTATAAGAATAGCTATTTCTCCACTGAGAAATTACTCTCCCATTCTAGAATTTGGGAATGTCATTTAGTTAATGATAATACTGAATGCTTAATAGAATATTTTAAAAAACAAAAATTCAAGTTTTTATAAAAATAAAGTCACCATTTCTGCTATCATGGTTCAAGCTTTAAAGGCTCTAAGCAGATGCTTTCAATAGCCCTGTATATTCCTGTGGCATTCTCCAATAATTCCTGCTATGGGCAGGGATAATTCACTGGGTTAAAAATGTTTCTGGTTTTGTGTAAATAATGCACAAATTAACCAATGTGGAAAGTTAATTATTAAATTACTTTAAGCCACTGGTCATTGTTCTTCCTTCCATCTCCCCTTTTCCTCCTGTCCCAGTGGAGGTAGCACCAAGATCTGAGCTAAGCAGCAACCTAGCAGATCACTTCTCACTCCAGGACTGTAGTTCAGAGTAAATTGGCTCACATCAGATTTGACTCTAATTTGGGTCTTAGCATGCTTAATTTGCACTTAATTGCCTACAGAAATGTCTATAGTCAGGGATGTCTACTGCGGAATCCAGCCTGAGTTATGCTACTTAGATCAAAAAGCATTGCTTTCTCCTTAAACACTAAAAATACTTTTCAACAATTACACACATTTATTTTTACCTAGCTGTTGAAATGTAAGAACTGCTTTGATTCCTAAACATACATAATACAGATAATACCTGTGAAAAAACAAGTTATAACAATCCCAAAGTTAAAATATGGCAATGTTAGTCAAAATGAAGACATTTTCCTTTTGAGCTTATTCTACGACAATGTGCAGCTGCAATGACCTGATTTCTATTTCACCAAATAATTACAATTGCACTTCTCAATTTAGCTACTGGGGTGCTTATTCTTCACATTGATACTTGCTTATTGAGGTTCATTTGCAATCTTAGGAGCTTAGCTCCAACATTTAGAAAATCAAATAGGTGTGTAGGTGGGCCAGGTATATATTTGTTCTAAGTGCCTAAGTGCTATTTTGAGCAGTTACAGAAACTTGTGCTTATAAGAAAGGGCCCAGGTTAGAAATTGGGACTGCCTCATTAACTTATGGATACTTCCTTTATCAATCAAACTTGAAATACTGCCTTTTAAAACTTTTTTGAAGAAATGTATCACATTTTCAGTAAAATCTACCGAGGCTCCCATATAATATTGCATGAACTTGCTGAATTTGAAGCTGAAGGTACAAACTTAAAGGCCAACCAATAGCTTCCTTCAAAATTATCACTGCTGGACATTGCTAAATTCAAAAATGTCAGAAATCTCAGAGCTAACTATTTCTAATTTGAAAGCCTCTGATTAGTAAGGGCCAATAATATGCATTAATTAGTTTATGACAATAATAATCTATTCTTAATTTTGCTTCTGTGCATTTAACATGTTGGTCTTATGTCAGAGACATGTCTTTTGTCATAACTCTTATTAAAAGTAGCCTCCATAGCTTCTTCTCTAATGACGACACTTTAAAAACTTTTAATGCCTTTCAGACCTAGATTGTACATAGATCTAATTCATTTAAAATGTTTGCACAGGGTGTCTCACAGGGTAACTTCTGAGATATTAAGTATGGGTGAAATTAATGTATACCAGGCACAAATTCATCTTAATGATGGAAAGTCCACAGAAAGTAACTTTCTGTTGGGCAATGTTGCCTCATATAAATAAATGCTCTAAATAGTTCCCCAAGCCTCCAAAGCCAAAAAAAAGTCAGCGATGCAATGAAAGTAGTCTTCCGAGAGGCAACAAGCCAACTGAAAGTCTCTTGCCACTAGGGAAGGGTGCAAGTCTAAGCCTTGACCAGGAATGGGCAAAGCATTTGAGGCTGGTGTTTTGTCAAGAGAAAGGTTGAATCAGATGAAAAATCACCAGGCTTGGAAAGCCTACAAACAAAAACTGCAGTTACAACTTATCAATAGAGAAGGAAGAAAAAGGCCAGAAATATGTACTTTATACTTAAAAAAGACATGTCTCCCCTGTAAGACCAACATGTTAAATGCATATAAGCAAAACTGACATAGAAGTACTCCAGAAGCATTTCAGACCTCTTCATTCGCAAGAAAGCAGGGTAGCATAGGAAACATCCACATGGACAACTCCAGAAGTTCATAAATATGCAAAGCTAGAGCTCAAAACATGGTATTTTAAAAGTAAATCCATTCTGTCATTGAGTACTACGTAGACTGATACATTCATTTTTGCAACCATAGAAATTGAAAAGAACACATATGTAATTTTAATTGCACAGATAAAAGCATCTGGGGAGCTCTACTGAAGATGTATGAAGCCCTCATCTTGCAAGCACGAAACACTTCACAGTTTACACAGCACTCACAATCCACAACCTCAGGACATAGTCACACAGCCTTTTAAAGAAAGTAAAAAGCAAAGATTACTTCTCCCTCTGATACAGCTGAGAAAGTCAGCTCAGAGGGTAGACGCAACCTGCTCAGTGTATGTGTAACCAACACAAGAAAATCCAAGACCACACAACTCATCAGCTAGATGATGGCAAAGTCCTCTGTTGATCTCTCTACTCAGGTCACCTCAGACAAGAGTGTTACCACGCTATATCCACTCTCATTTCCTGATACTCTAGAACTATTTGTCCTTCTAACAATAATAATAATGAGAATAGTATCTGCCATTTCCTGAGCACCACAATTCCCTGATATACTCTACCAAAGACATGAGGTTTAGGTATTTATCTATCCAAGTAAAGTTTTTGGAATTTCTCAGTACAAGAAAAAAAACACATCCAAATAATACAAGTTAGGAACATTTTTAATATGTTTTTGCTAAAAAATATAGAATGTTAACTATTGGTAAACCAAATCACAAGTATAATGTTTTGAAAAAGATTTCTTTTTTATGTAAGTAAATTAGCATGCCCTGGTGAGCCATTATGTAGATCCTAAACTTACTATGTCCTTAGGCTTGCTTGAAATGTCCATCCATCCATCCATCCATCCATCCATCCATCCATCCATCCATCCACCTGTCCACCCATCCTTAAACATAAGATATACGTACTTGGTGCCTAGTCTCCAAAAACACCTCATCGCTGTTCTCTAGTTCCTGCATTTTGCATCTTTCCCAGAAGCGGGCTGGTCTGGCTGTCCTTTATTTCCCATGTAACCTGTGAGACTCAGGTTCACATGACACTTGGCTGTGGCCCATGGTGGCAGGAGGCCTTTGGCACTTCCATTCAAAGGATTGTAGATGTCGGGAACAAGCTTAGCCCACATGGTGCATGTGCTGAAAGTACTTCCAAATAATTACTCATTTTATTTTGGAGAAAATAACTGCAAAGCAATGAAAAGCTGAATGGAAGGGCTTTTGTGTGCATAATGAGTGTTTATTCCATTAGTTTTCTTAAAATTAGGATTACATATTTTTAAGCCCTGCAATCAAAACGTTCACAGTATACAAAGCCAAACTGAGCCACCTGTACAACAACCAGCTGAGTAACTTTTGATTCTAAACCTAACCACCCATCACTACCCTTCTTTTATTTCTTCACTAAAAATCATGTTTGTAAAGCTACATTATAAGTTTGTACAACAGCTAAAGTATGTATTTGTCACCTGCTGCTTTTATTCTGTTATTATGCATGCTTTTGTGCATGTGTATGTGTGTGTTTGTGTGTTTCTTTGTGAGTATGCATGTTTCTACCAAAATCTTGAGTCATCCATCAGTAAATCAAAACAAACCATGGGGAAATACATGAAGATGGAAATACCTGAGGCCTAAGAAAGCCCAAAGCCCTCTGGTGGGGAAAATAAAAACAGAGACACTACTAAAGTCCCATTTTAACATTCCGTTCCTCTTTCTTTCTTCTTTCTTTCTTTCCTTCTTTCTTTGTTTTCTTTCTTTCTTTCTCTTTTTCTTTCTTTCCTTTCTTTCTTTCTCTTTCTTTCTTTCTCTTTCTTTTTCTCTTCTCTTTCTTTCTTTCTTTCTTTCTTCTTTCCTTTCTTCATTCTCTCTCTCTCACACACACACACACACACTGACACACACACACACACACACACACACATCTTTTAGCACACTGTGATCATCAACATTACAACTGAACATTTAGGCTCATTTTCTGGTGTTCTTATCCTAAGAATCCAGTGTGGGATATTTCTCAGTTAATTTCGCCCTGTGTACTCATAAAGTTTTGCATGTTGAGGATTATTCTAAAATACAAATAATCTGTTAATTGGTAAGAAAGGATAGAAAAAAGACAGCACTTGATAATAACCCAGCTATGCAGCCAACTCCCCTGCTCTCAATAAAACATAAGCAGCCCCAAGGTATTGTGAAAAGTAGAATGTGTTTGGTGCCTGGTGTGATCCGGTGATTTCTGTTAACTTGTTCTATGCTAAAATAATCTCAAGTAAGTATTATTATCCTTGTTTTACAGATGAGGAAATTGAGACTCTGAAGGCTTGAGAAACTTGTCCAAATCACAAAGCTAAAGGTAGCAGTTGCAATTTAAATATGGCTCTATCCCTTTCCAAAGCAAGTTTTCTCTCACTACCGCAAAGGTCTCAACTCTGGGTATATGGATTCCCTTGGAGGTCCACAGTTTGACTTCAGGAAGCCTAAGCAATTGCATGAAAAATGGTTTGAGTATTTCCAAGTCACATTTTTCTGAGACATGGGGGTAGAGATTTTACCAGCTTCTCAGAAAGGATGAAGTCCCCAAAAGTTTATGAATGCCCATGATTTCATCCTAGTGTCTTGTAGGGCTTAGTGCAGATGCCAATACCATACTTCCCTAGAGCCATCCTAAATCCACCTGCCAGCATGCACCTCTGTCTGCTCTGGGCTCCCAGGGTACTCTGAACTCTCCTGCAACCCTGATTTTTTACTTCATTTTGTTGCTTTGCTGTTATTGTGAATATATCAAAATTGTCCTGCTAGATGTAAGTTTCTTGAAGGCAGAACACAATCTTTTCCAATTTTGTGTCTCTCAAAGCCCTAGCACCATACTCTGCATATGATAAGTGCTTGATAAAGGTCAAACGAAGTTGATTTTTTTTTTAATTTAGTGACTGGTTGTTACCTACCGAAACCACGCTTACTCCTACTCTTGATCTTTGATTATCTAATTCCTCTCACCTAGAAGGCTAACTTCCTCAAATGTCAGACTTGTTTCTGGTCAATCTCTGGGCTGTCATCTTCAAGAAAGGCCTGCACATGCAATACCCTGATTTTATAACTTGTTATCACACAACTGCATACACATTTTCTTATTATTATTGTCTAATTGCTTCAGATATGCTATGAACTCTTCAGCTCTCCAGGGGATGTATTCACTTATTCAGCATGTATTTAATGAGCACCTATTCTGTGTCAGGTATTATGACTGGAATTGGCAAAAATCCAGTCATCTCTTCTTCTAAAGTTTTTGGATCCCCCTGTAAAGATTAAAACTATATTATGCATGTAGATGTGCTCAATACATAATAAATGAATGAATACTGTCAACCTTACCTTGACATTGCTTGTGTACTTTTTAATGGCTGAGGACAGGCTAGATTTATCCCTTCCACCTTTTGAAACATTGATTTTCTTGGAGACTAGTATGCTTATTCAGAGTTACAGCATTTATCAAGATTATAAACTAGTTTCAAATTAATTTATATATTTAGGAAAATAATCACCTGCATATGTATATTTGAAATCAGAAGTCATGTGAATGGCTTATTTTCAGAATAATGGCTTATTTTAAATAATGACTTACTTTCAGAAGAAAGAGAATAAGAAAAAGTGGCCTGTGCTGTTCTAAGTGAAATGTATTTAGATTGGCAATGTTGAATGGGTAGTAGAGCTTCCATTTGGCATCACTAATGCCTCAACAGTCCAGAATGTCACCCAACCAACTGAAAAACCAAGTCTGCTCATCTGGGAAGTAATTCTGTCAGTGGCCTTCCATTTCTCAAGATTTTCTTTCAAATACTACATAAATGAATAATTAAAGAGACAAGTGAAAATAAATATTAAGAGTTTTCCTAAACCATGTTCTCAAGGCATTTTTATCCCATTTAAATTTTAAAGGTAATTATAACGCCTACTGCCAAGAAAGTTAACACTAATTATTGGAATAAATAACACTGTACAAATTAAATAGGGATGCAAAGACAAAAATGCATAATGGCTTATTCAAAACAGGAAGCACGGCACTGTTATTTCTAGCTCTAAGTAATATATCCTCTTGATTTATGAAGACATAATTTTTAAATGTCTATTAGTAAAACCTTTCCTCTTGTATCATGTTTACTATCAGATTGCTATTTAAAATTACTATCAGATTGCTATTTAAAAAATTAACATTCATCTTTTCTTAGCAGTCATCTAGTATGGTTTTGCTTTTTTTACTTTATAGCTTTTATACGTATATTGCTATATAGTTTGGAAAGAAATGTACTTATGTCTACCTATGTAAATCACACAATGAATTATGTTGCAGTTAAAACCTACAAACGAAATCTGGTATTTCTTCAGTAATTTATCTCCAATCCAGTATGTATTTTAATGTATTATACAGCGGTGTTATGTAATATATGAAAAACTTTAACATGGGTTTTGACTAGCTGTATTTCAGCATTGAACGAGTGTTGATGCAAACATATAATACTTTTTTGTTTTTTGTGTGTGGAAGGCATTGGCAGTCAATCGTTCAATCTTACCAAACTCTAAAACTCTAAAGGCTAATTTCAGGAAGATTCAATAACACACTGTAGCTACAATTTCCTTTCTTTTCCCCACAGGAGGTGAAATGTACATATTTATGGGACAGGGAGGCCTTTTCCTTCATAAGTCAAAATATAGAAGTTAGATGTTGCTTTTTCATATGGCTAATATGTTTGCTGGAGCCTACCAACTAAGGAACTTTTATATGTATCTTTGGGTTATGGAAAATGGCCAAGTTCCACACTGCACTTGATTATTTTTGATGCAAGCTCTCTCAGATGAAGGTTTCACCTGTGACTTTTCAGGACTTTCTCATTCCTGAGTGAGGAATATGCAGCCTAAAAGCAGACTAATGTGTTTCTATTAAGCCAATTGGACTGGCTGGCTTTGCAGAGCCCTCTCAGAATCAAGAATCTGTAATTTTATAAATAGTACCACTATCACCTCTACAGTCTTACTGCCACTCCTTGTCCCCCACTCAAAGAAAATAATGATTCCGTTTTCTCAGAGTACTGCTCTTTCAATTCATGTGAATTAACAGAATATAAGCTGTTCTTCAAAATGCTGATTTTTTTTCTTTTCACTTAATGCCCAGATTTGTGGGTAGAGAGTTCAAGGCTCAGTTCTGTAATTAGCCAAGGTGAGGCATTTGGTGAGGCCTTCTCTTGCCAGGCTTCTATATTCTTCACTGCAAGAAGTGAAGCTTTCAGATCTCAAAATCTCTGTGTTTACAGCAATTTCAAAATACAAAAGTATATGGGAGTTACAGAGTATTTCAAATAGTTGAGAACTGAGACTGACTGCATAAGTAAAGTCAAGTAAATACATTATGATTAATTTCTCTATATTTGAAAAAAACATAATTGCAATCCTAGGAACTATGGAGTGCAAAAATATTGTACATTCAATTCCACTCTTTCCTCCTGCTTCTACCACCAGAAATTCACTGATCTTAACTAAAAGGCAATGTCCATGGTCACCAAATAAAGGCAGGGGAGCTGAGTCAAACAGTTTTTGAGGTAACAATTTATATACAGATAGTCAGAACAACCCTACACCAACTCCACCAAAATCAAAGGATGCGATTTCTCCATCAATATTTTATCATAGGGACTGAGGGAGAGAATAGCACTGAGTGCAAAGTCATTCCCACTCTCCATTGTAAACATGTTCCCTGTGTAGCCAGCTTCAGTCTAAAAGAAACAAAGTCAGGAAGTATCATAGAAAAGTCCACAGCTATCAGTACAAGATAAATTCAACTGGTAATGTGTTCATTTGACTTCAAAAACTACAAAAGACAAAACATAATTTAATATTTAATATACTGCATTACTAATAGAAACTTATCACTTCTATGATTTCTAAGAAAATATTCAGCATATTTTCCCATGCTCTCTAAAGTACTATCAAACCTCTCTGAGGTAAGACATTAATTTTTAAGTGGTGAACCAAAAAGGCCATTTGTAAGAAATAAATCTTTCAATGAAGCATAAGGAAATGATCATTTTTTGTACATAGCTTTACAACAAGAAGCACTGTGCAAACATTAATCAAATATCATGACATTCAAAGCCTATATCATGACAGCATGACAATAAAAGAGATAAAGGGAAAAACTTACCTGCTTTCTGAAGCTCTCAGTGTCAAAGAAAGGAATCTTGGGTAATGGTATCACCATCCACTGCTTGCCCAAGCTAGAAATCTCAGCATCATTTTAAATTCCTCTATGTGGGCTTCCTTTCAATGGCCCATCTAATTAATCACTGATTTCCATTGAATCAGACTTAAAAATCTGTCTCAGAAATGACCCTAATTCAAATTGCTAGCATTTCTGGCCTGGAATATTTCAACAGCCTTTTCAATCTTTCTGCCTCGAATCTCACCAGCCCTAACATGTTACTCCCTTCCCCCAACTCCCCTGCCAATCATCCTGTCAAGATGGACTTTCTGAAACATTATTTACCATGATTATACCTTATGCCCTTTACCTTTTAATGATTTAAAAGACTCCCCATCATGTAGAGGTGATACCAAGCCCCGAGTCTTCCCAACCAATCTTTCTTTTTCTCTCCAAACACAGCTGACTCTTGTGTCTCATGAATCCCAGAAGCCATCAAGCCAATTTACAACTTGATGTGGGTTTACATTGCAGGAAAGCTTATATTTCCACTTCTTCACCAAGAAAACTTCCAATCATACTCCAAGAGCTAGCCTCAAGTTACTACCTCCTTGAAAAAGCTTTTCTAAACACCTCAGATAGCTATTCTTTGTCTGCTTAAAGAGAATACCAAACACTGTTCTATTATACTTCACTGTGGCTTTTCTGTTTTTGTGTCTATATCTCTGGACTTAAGCTACCTAAGATAAGGCAACATGTCATCATCTCAGTTTTCCAGCTTCTGGCATGGTACCTGGCACACAATGGGCACTCAATGCAAATTCGGTAAATGAATGAATAAAAGAAAATACTGGATTTTACAGGTATCGAGTGAATCTTTCAAACAGTCTGTAAGATAATATTTTCAGAGTTTAAAAAAATCACGGGCCGGGCGTGGTGGCTCATGCCTGTAATCCCAGCACTTTGGGAGGCCGAGGCGGGTGGATCACGAGGTCAGGAGATCGAGACCATGGTGAAACCCCGTCTCTACTAAAAATACGAAAATAAGCCGGGCGTGGTGGTGGGTGCCTGTAGTCCCAGCTACTTGGGAGGCTGAGGCCGGAGAATGGCGTGAACCTGGGAGGCGGAGCTTGCAGTGAGCCAAGACGGTGCCACTGCACTCCAGCCTGGGTGACAGAATGAGACTCCGTCTCAAAAAAAAAAAAAAAAAAAATCACAATTCATAGTATCAAACTCAGTGTGAACTACTCACTCAAAATGTTACACTAGGTTTTTAAAAATGTTTGTCCTTGAGCTAAATGCTTTCCTCCAGTATTGAATAAGACCACTCCTTCTAGATTTATTATAATATATGTGGATTGTGGGTTCAGGCTTACATCTCTGGTGTAGGCCCTTTTTATCCATCAATCTTGACTGGGAAGGGAAGTTAGAGCTTCTTATCTTCCCAAGAATCTGAAGGCCACATTTATTCAAGTTAAATAGAGTAGAACTGCAGAAAGGCAGTTTTGGGGGTCTCAACACACAGGAGAGAACATTTAGTCAGACCCCACTCAGGATGAACATCCTGGTCTCCATATCCAGCAGATGCACAAGGAAGGCATTTCTGGATGTCCCAGAGGAAATCAGCTTCCCCAGTAAGTTCACTTCAAGGTCTAGATGAATAAGAGAACCTGACAAGCAGAGGAAGGCCAAAGCATAGGTTCAATCTAGAACTGGGGCCATCTCCTTAACTGACTCTGGAAGTCATAATTCACCCTGTTTTCTATGAGAACAGTGACTTTGAAACTATACAGCATAGCAGCTACTTCTCCCAACACCAAACTTCTTCATGAAACTGCAACATCATTGGAGCATTCTTCTATGATACCTACTTTAAGATGTGAGTGACATGATCCCATTCATAGGAAGCATGGACCTTACAGCCCCGCTAACTTTCAAGGCTTTATGCAGTTCATTACATCTAAGATACAGCCTCCTTTTTTTTTTTCTCCATCAACCCATGTGTTTCCCAAAGCCCTTGCTGAACCTCACCTCATCTTTAAAGCCTTAACTAAACAGATCCTGTCTGTTATTTCTCCTTCATTCTACATCACTTAGGAACCTAGATATCTCCCTGCCTGCTGGGCAAAAATTTCAGAAAGTACCAAGAATGCCATAATTTCTAGCCTCCTCCAGAAGTCCACTGGCTTTCTCAGCACCCCCTCCCCAAAGAGACACATGGACACCTAACACATGCATACGTGCATGCACATACTAAAACACCCCTACACATCAGCTATGCAAAGCCTGTAGGGGATGCCACAGACCATCAACCCTTTCACCTAATTTGACTCAAAGTCGTAGGCTATACAAGAGGACTTGTTTTTCTAAGAATCTTAGAAATCTCTACCTCCCCACACCCAAGTCAAATACATGCTTTTGTCCTTCTGATCTATAGGGGATTCCAGAATGTCAATTGGGTTTGGCCTAGGCCACCTTCTCCTTAGATAAAATAATAGGGCTGGCTTCCTTTTAGCAGTTATCTCTGTGGTCACCTCTTTTACATCTTGTGATTCTGAGTCCAAGACTGGGTATGCAAATGGTTTCCTGCGCTGGGAGTCCAGACACTCTAATTCTAAGGAAGCAAAAGGTAAAATGACCTTCACCCTATAAGTCACTAAGAAAAAAAGATTCTCTTGAATAGAGGGTGAGATTTGTGGTGTTAAAGAGTATTTCAAATCCTGGGTACACAACATTTACATCCACCTGTCTGTAGGCCTAGACCTGGGAGAGCCTCTACTCCCTTGGCCAGTTCTTCCTTGACTATAGATACCTCTCCTGACTCTAGGATTTTGCTCTGTACAAGAACAAAACTGACTTTCCCCACTTTCTAAAAACCATCTTCCTGTTGATAACAGGCACAAGAAGCAAAATGTGTTCTGCTGTGTGAAACTTTGTCTAGATCTAGCCCAGGGGTCAGCAAACTAAGTTTTGCCAGCCAAATCCAGCCCACTGCCTGATGTGGTTTGGCTCCCAAGTTAAGAGTATTTTTTACACTGTTAAGATGTTTGTAAAAGAGGAAAAGAATATTTCATGACACATGGACATATGTGATATTCAAGCTTCAGTATCCATATATCAAATTTTATTGGCACACACCCATATCCATTCATTTATGTACTGTCTTTGGTTGTTTTCATGCTACAATAGCAGAGATAAGTATTTGTGACAGACAGACCATATAGCCCGTATAGTAGAAAATAATTATTTTTCAGAAAAGGTTTGCCCACCTAGCTCTAGCTCACAAAAAAGTCAATTTGTACTAATAAATTATTTTTTATCTATTATCTAAGTGAAAAGAAACTTTATACTTCCCTAAAAGATTTTTAAATCTCATTTTTGCACAATTATATTTTACCAGTTTATCCAGAGCCATTGTCTTTCTCATAGTCGCAGTCAAGTTGAACAGCTTAAAGATTTGGCTCAGAAGCATTGTGGACTAAACCTGAAGTCAGTTCTGAGGTGGAGAAGCCCACCTCCCTCCAAAAGACTGGCTTAGGCTTTTCACATTGAGCACAGCATAGACTCCCTCTATTCTTAGTCTGAAAAATGGGAAGAATGACCTCTCTTATACAGGGTTGAATACTAGTCCCTAAAAATTCATGTCCACTCAGTACCTCAGAATGTGACCTTTTTGGATACATGTATAGTATTTTCAGATGGAGGTAGTTAAGGATCTAGACATGAATCATCTGGGATATAAGGTGGGCCCTAAATCCAATAACTGATGTCCTTAGAAGAAGAGGACACAGAGAGACACACCTAGAAGAAGACCATGTGAAGATGCAGGCAGAGATTGTCATGATGCTGCCACAAGCCAAGAAATGCCTGGGGCCACCAGAAGCTACTTAAAAGCAAAGAAATATTCTCTCTAGAGTATTGGGAATGAGTGTGGCATCTTTTTGGACTCCTGGTCTCCAGAAGTGTGAGCAAATAAATCTCTTGTTTTAAGCCACTCAGTTGTGATATTCTGTTGCAGCTACAGGAAACTAATATGCCTCCCATTTGCAGAGTCTTGCACATTTTTCAGAGAACTTTCACAGCTACTTAGTTCATTTATTTTCACAGTTATTTTCTGAAGTAGACTATCTATGGACCATCTGCGTTCTTTTGCTGAGGTAGAGCGACACTCACCCATTTAGTGTCTATGAATAAATGTCACAAATTCTGTCTGTTCCTTGCTAACTACTTTTGCAATTTGATGATCCTAGACAGTTTTTTTAAATTAATCTATTTTTCAGGGGCTCAAACAATTGAGAGAAGTCTTACTCCCTCTATAGCAATTAGTTTCATACCCACTTTTTACTGACCTCTCATTTACATCTAAGGTTTCTCTTGAGGGTGGCTGTGTTTCAACCACAGAAATTTAGATTTTAGCTGTGTTGTCTGAGGATTTCTGATAAAGTCATCCCACTAAAGACACAAAAACTCAGAAACTTTATGAACCAAGAAAAAGTCCTCTAACAAGTTGTGTCATATGTTACTCATTTAGGAATATTGCAAAAACACTACTTCTCACCATATTTGTAAATGAAAAACACATGACTATAACCTGTAATACCACAAGAAAAATTGCTCTTTTTGGTGTGTTTGGTCCAGACTTTCGAAATATGAACCTAAGAAGGGAATTTTAACTTAAGCTGGATTCAGCTCATTATTCTCTTGCCCTTTACGTGCCAGTAGAGGAGCTACTTTTAGAAAATTAACCCATACATATACAGTAGCACACCATACACCAAATGCCACGTGGAAGTATCACTAAAAGCCTGGGTCCTGGTCCTGCCATAGCCATTTGCTGGCTGTGTGCCTTTAGGCAAGTGACGCTTAGCCTCTCCGAGACTAAGTTTCTGCAGAAAAGAAAATTATGATAATTCCAGACCCCATTAGAACTGGATCAAGATAAGACATATGAAGGCATTTGTAAACTACAAAGTATAAAGGTAACAGGTTTATGTTATTGGCACCTGTATTATAAACTCAAATCAAAGCATAGTTCACTTTAAAATGATGGTTAATTAGAGATTATTTTCTTTCATGTCAAATAGAAAATACCAAACAGACTTACAACTCCCATAAAGAGATTTATGACTTATGTCTAAAGCCCCTTGCATTTACTATTTGGGTTGAATCAATATGGTTATCTACCTTTCAATTTCTCTTATTCTTTCATGCAGAACGAGAGAAGTCTTTTTTTATGACTGGCTCAGAAAGTACTGAACTAATCGATATATCCAGTGATAACAAGATGATTTGGAACACACGTAACAAAAGCTTACCATTTTACTGCATACTGAATCTGTCAAAATATTTTCCTAGAAGTAATGTGAAAATAGGAGTTCTCTATCTTTCATTATTTTAGTGGGTGGTGACAAAAGGATTAGGAGGCTATGTGCTGAGTCTACAGTTTGGTACTTTCTGGTAAAATTCAGCATATAGCTGTTACCTTAAAAAAAAAAAAAGGTGAAATATAAGAATACCCCAGCTGAATTGGTAGTCAATCCCTAAAAAGATCCAATTTGAGTCTTCCCATATTTACCTAGTCTTACAAAGTCAGAAACTGTTCTGAATGTGTGCCGGCAGGGCTCAGATCCCTTCATGTTGTTCTACTGTGGATACTCCTAGAGGGTTATGGGTGGGGGAGATAATGGCTGAAATTACTATACAAACAAGATAGGTTTGGGCTTAACTACAAAGAGAAGATTTAGAGCTGTAAGCAACCCCACCAATGAGTTAGTCTAATCTCCTCATGTGACAAAAGCCCTAGAAAGGCAAAATAACTCTCTTAATTTTACAAACAAAGTTCAGGCCAGAAGAGAAACCCACATCTCAGTATACCTCATTAAAACTATGCTTTGCAATATTTCACACTTTCCAAAGTAGAGATTTATTTTCAACTGCCTCATGAAGAATCACTAAAATTATCAAATAGTGCTGTTTTAAATTGCATCATTATTAATAATGATGACAGAAATGTGTATAACATAAGAATTAAATTTTGTTAAAACAGAGTAAGAATAAATCAATCTTTTGGTTTCTTTCCAACCAAAAAAAGTGTTAAACAATGACAAAGGCTTTAAAAGCAAAGTGCACCAAGAAAGATGCACTGAAACCAAATACTCTGATCTACCTACACAATGGCATGTTGAAATCACTGACATTGTTTTAGGATGCTGATGGCTAGAACCACTTGCATACAGCCTTAGAAAAGAAAAAAAAATACATAGGAGAAAGAAGAGGACTTGAGGAAAAAGAAAGAAAAAAAATCCCAAGTATTTGCATACTCTTTAAGAAGCCATCCTTGAGAGCTATCTCTGGGTTTGACTAATGCCAATGAAAAAAATGGAGGAGAAAGGGGGTGAGCGGAGGACAAGGACTCCAAGGGAAGAAAAGTATGGTATAAAATAGCCAGTTCGGCATTACTTTAGAAAAATCCTTGGGGAAGCACACTGAAAAAGAATGGATGGTTACAAGAGAAGAATTGAGATGTCCTTTCTTGTAGGGAAGTAGAGAACAAACCTGGGAAAGCTCAGAAATTACTGCTTGAATTGATGATGGCAATGGTCTTGAGAGAATTCCTAGGTCTCCTAGGATGACAGGGAAAGTAACGTGCCAAGTTCAGCATTACACTCTGGTTGCCACATTGCCTACAAATTCAAGATAAGTGACAGTCTGGCTTTTGAGCTCTCTCACTTTGGTCCCACATACCCGCAGCTGCAGATAAACTGGCTTATCCTTAGAATATACTTCACATTTTACTCACTTCCCCTTTCTGTATATGCTATTATCTCTATCCATCACTAATATGACTAATATGCACACATATGAACTGCTCTCCAGATTCCTCTTGAACTACTCTAATACCACCCAATATTAAAGGCCAAGTTCAAAACAAACTTCCCATTCATTCTCTGTGAAACCCTCCCTGGTTACCTCTATGTGTCCCCGACTGACAAATCAGTCCTGCTATTGTGAGAATGGTCTCAGTCTCCCCTCCTCAGGACACCCTTCCTAATCACTTCTCTTTTAGCATCTCCAACCTTCCCATCACAAAGAATGCAAAGCCAGGTATTCTATTTGTATTACTATCAACTACACATGTTCAGTTGGAGACAACTTCATTTAGCTTAGGGAGACACTAAAGTTAGGGGAAATATGAAGAGAAAGTTAGGAGGAATATGATAAGAAAATGAATTTGAATACCAATGAGACCAGTGAGTTGGAAGAGTTAGTAAAAAAGCATAAACAAAATGCAACTACCAGGGGATGGACTAGCAGAGAAGAAGGTACAAAGCTTTCTAGATTCCACACAGCTATAAGACAAATACTAAGTTCAAGAGTCTTTTCTGGCACCCTAAAAGTATAAAGTTATCCCTTCATTTTGATGGGTTTGGAAATAGCCCAGATATAGCCTTGGACTCAGTACTATTGTATTTTCATAAGAATGCACAAAAAAATAAACTGGTGATATACCTCAAGTGATATGGTTTGGCTGTGTCCCCACCCAAATCTCATCTTGAATTGTAACTCCCACAATTCCCATGCTTCATGGGAGGAATCTGGTGGGATGTAATTGAATCATGGGGGCAGGTCTTTCCTGTGCTGTTCTCGTGATAGTCAGTAAGTCTCACGAGATCTGATGGTTATTATAAGGGGGAGTTTCCCTGCACAAGCTCTCTTCTCTTGTCTGTTGCCATGAGAAACGTGTCTTTAACTTACTGCTACAATTGTGAGGCCTCCCCAGCCACATGGAACTGTAAGTCCGTTAAATCTTTCTTTTGTAAACTGCCCAGTCTCAGATATGTCTTTATCGGCAGCATGAAAATGGACTAATACAGGAAATTGGTACCAGGAGTGGGGTGCTGCTGAAAAGATACATGAAAATGTGGAAGCAACTTTGGAACTGGGTAACAGGCAGAGATTGGGACAGTTTGGAGGGCTCAGAATAAGACAGAAAAATGCAGGAAAGTTTGGAACTTCCTAGAGACTTGTTGACTGTCTTTGACCAAAATGCTGATAATGATATGGACAATGAAATCCAGGGTGAGGTGGTCTCAGATGGAGATGAGTTACTTGTTGGGGACTGGAGCAAAGGTGACTCTTGTTACGTTTTAGCAAAGAGACTGGTGGCATTTTGCCCCAGCCCTAGAGACTTGTGGAACTTTGAACTTAAGAGAGATGATTTAGGGTACCTGGCAGAAGAAATTTCTATGCAGCAAAGCATTCAAGAGGGGGCTTGGGTGTTGTTAAAGGCATTCCATTTCAAAAGGGAAACACAGCATAAAAGTTTGGAAAATTTGCAGCTTGACAATGCAATAGAAAAGAAAATCACATTTTCTGAGGAGAAATTCAAGCTGGCTGCAGAAATTTGCATAAGTAACAAGGAGCCGAATGTTAACCCTCAAGACAATAGGGAAAATGTCTCCAGGGCATGTCAGAGGTCTTCACAGCAGCCCCTCCCATCACAGGCCAGGAGGCCTAGGAGGAAATGATGGTTTCATAGGCCAGGTCCAGGGCCCTCTGCTCTGTGCAGCCTAGGGACTTGGTACCCTGCATTCTAGTTGCTCCAGCCATGGCTAAAAGGGGCTAAGCTTGGGCTGTCATTTCAGAGAATGGAACCCAACATCTTGGCAGCTTCCACATGCTGTTGAGCCTGCAGGTGCAGAGAAGTCAAGAACTGACGTTTGGGAACCTCCACCTAGATTTCAGAGGATGTATGGAAATGCCTGGATACCCAGGCAGAAGTTCACTGCAGAGGCGGGGCCCCCATGGAGAACCTCTGCTAGGACAATGTGAAAGGGAAATGTGGGGTCAGAGCTGCCACAGAGTCCCTGTTGGGGCACCACCTAGTGGAGCTGTGAGAAGAAGGCCACCAACCTCCAGACCCCAGAATGGTAGATCCATCAACAGCTTGCACCATGCACCTGGAAAAGCCACAGACACTCAATGCCAGCCCATGAAAGCAGCCAGGAGGGGGGCTACGCCCTGCAAAGCCACAGGGGCAGAGCTGTCCAAGACCATGGGAACCCACCTCTTGCATCAGCATGACCTGGATGTGAGACATGGAGTCAAAGGAGATCATTTTGGAGCTTTAAGGTTTGACGGCCCTGCTGGATTTTGGACTTGCATGGGGCCTGTAGCCCCTTTGTTTTGGCCAATTTCTCCCATTTGGAATAGCTGTATTTACCCAATGCTTGTACCTCCATTGTATCCAGAAAGTAACTAACTTGCTTTTGAATTTATGGACTCATAAGCGGAAGGGACTTGCATTGATTCAGATTAGACTTTAGACTGTGGACTTTTGAGTTAATGCTGAAATGAGTTAAGACTTTGGGGTACTGTTGGGAAGGCATGATTGGATTTGAAATGTGAGGACATGAGATTTGGGAGGGGCTGGGGGTGGATTAATATGGTTTGGCTGTGTCCCCACCCAAATCTTATCTTGAATTGTAACTCCCATAATTCCCATGCTCTGTGGGAGGAACCCAATAGGAAGTAATTGAATCATGGGAGAAGGTCTTTGCTGTGATGTTCTCATGACAGTTACTAAGTATCACAAGGTCTGATGGTTATTATAAGGGGGAGTTTCCCTGCACAAGCTCTCCTCTCTTGTCTGCCATAATGTGAGATATGCCTCTCACCTTCCACCATGATTGTGAGGCCTCCCCAGCCACGTGGAACTGTAAGTCCATTAAATATCTTTCTTTTGTAAATGCCCAGACTCAGGTACGTCTTTATCAGCAGCATGAAAACAGACTAATACATCAAGTGAAAAATTCTTAGCATGAGTTGTAAACAGCAACTGGATGGCCTTCCATTCATTGAAGCAGCTGTCTCTTTTCTGTGTAGCTGCATGGACATATCTAGAACATCAATGGTAATATCCTAGCATTCTCTGCAGTTCTCACACAAGGGACCTGAGTTTACTATCTAACTCACAATAAATAAAGGTAATTATACTCACAGTGTTCACTGCATAGGGTGTGAAACAAAACAGGCACAGTCACAAATGTGAGCAATAATTTTTCAGCTGGTTGACAAAGCTAACCACTAAAATAAGCTACAGACAAATCCCACACCATTTCTATTAAAGTTTTCTAAGGCCACTAGTTTTGTGGCAATTGGAGCCTCAGATAGCCTTAGATCACAGCCAAGAGCAGCATGTAAAGCAAATGACCCTTTAGGGATATGACACTCTACACGTTAGTTTTGTACTTTCAAAAGCTTACTGACTTAGGATGGAGACATTTAATATGTGATATCAATCCTTTCATGTGCATGTGATTATTTACTTGGCAAGCTATACTAATAACAAATTGCACCAAAATGCAGAGCTGTCTACACCAGCAGATTTTTATCCTAAGGTAAAAATGAACAAAAATTTCTGTAAAGAAATGTATAAAGCTACGTTTATTAACAAATTCATTTCCTAATAAAGCACCATCTGCAAGCAACCCTCAGTTTCCACTTGATATAAATAGGCCTTTTACTGTTTTCAGATGCAGTTCCGAGAAAATTCTTCTAAACCCAACTGCAGAACACATCAGCATTTTGTTGTTGTTGTTGCCAGGAATGTTAATAAACTCTATGACATGAAGTTTTGTTATTTATTTATTTATTTATTTATTTATT
The DNA here is from genome assembly GCF_000001405.40 of Homo sapiens. NCBI lineage: Eukaryota > Metazoa > Chordata > Mammalia > Primates > Hominidae > Homo > Homo sapiens. The sequence continues at coordinate 148,666,602 of NC_000023.11, read as the reverse complement.
TATTTATTTATTTATTTTTGAGACAGAGTCTAGCTTTGTCACCGGGCTGGAGTGCAGTGGTGCAACCTCGGCTCACTGCAACCTCTGCCTCCCGGGTTCAAGCTATTCTCCTGCCTCAGCCTCCCGAGTAGCTGGGACTACAGGTGTGTGCCACCATGGCCAGCTATTTTTTGTATTTTTGGTAGAGATGGGGTTTCACCATGTTGGCCAGGATGGTCTAGATCTCTTGACTTCATGATCCGCCCATCTCAACCTCCCAAAGTGCTGGGATTACAGGCGTGAGCCACTGCACCCGGCCAACAGAAAGTTTTTAAACAAATTATTTGTTAAAATGACATGCCTCAATTGAAAAGCTGACCTTTTGCAATAAAGTTGGTTATACTTCTAATATCCTTATTGTTGATACAGAAATTCTAAGAAGCATGGAAATGATTCAAGGATAAAAAATAAAAATTTCCCCACTATATACTCAACATGTGGACACATAAACAAACATGGGCACACACACTTGCACATCACATTTCAATAATAGTTTGTGATCTCTCAATTCATAAATATAATGTTATCTGCTTATTTGTATAGCTTAGAATGTTGTCTGTTTTCTGGCCATTCAACCCATCCTGCTTCACCCTCCCCACAAATGCACTTCACTAACACTCATCAACCTCCTGTCACTAAAGCCAGGGAAAAAGTTGAGAATACTCAAAGAAATACTGTGATTGCTCCACGGATAAGCCTTTTTGGTAATAACTCAGAGTAATGCTACCACTCATCAAAGATGGCTACACTGACTAGAGACCCGGAACCTAGTGCCTGAAACTCCTTGGCGCCAGGAACTGGGGCTGAATTCTAATGCTAAGTGCTTTTGAAAAGTGCATCAAGATTTAATAGGGTGAATTTTCAGACTTGGTCAGAGTTTTAGCCACATAAATTCCATTAGGTTCAAAGCTCCATAATGCTCCTCCCTGTCTATATTTATGCCCGCATTTTAATCTGCACCCTTCTAAGCTCTCTTGTTGGGCCGTGTAACCTCTCTTTTCCTTTCCTCCTATTTTTGGTTTTCACATTACCCTTGGGTTCTGTATATGCCCCTGACTTTAGGGCTTTAAGCTTCTCTCTACTCTTCTGTCAAATCCTTCCTTGAAACCCATATTTTAAAATAAGTACTTTCTTCACTGATCTCCTATCATGACTTTATTGCACCTGGCCCATTTTTCATACAGAGCTCTAGCAAGGTCTGTTTGTACCATCACCAAAGGCTGCAAGCACATAGGCTGCTCCTGGGATAATCGTCTCCAGAGCTGATGACAGCTCAGACTGTCTTTGAAAATGTACCTCTCGTTGGTGTGCCAGAGCACTGAGTGAAAGCATGAAGTCATTTCTGAATCTGGGTCAGCCATTTTGTGAATGTATAAGAGAGAGAATTACAACAGGGTGGATTTCGCTGGGTCTGTGATTTGTCACTCTACTAATGAGGTATGGAAACAGGCTGACAGACTGCTTTATGGGGCAGTGCTATTTCCAGATCAGTTCTGGCTGTGTAAGGAGGGAACAGCAGCAGATACCAGGGCAAAAGAAGAAACAAGAATGATATCCCCACCTCCCATTATACTTGTACTTTTTCAAAGCAGATCTCTTTTTTGATTTTTAAGTATTAAAGCCTGTATTAAGTCATTCAGTAGAAATTATGGCTAGGATTTCTCAATGACAGAACAGGAGCAGAGCAGAGTAAGAAACAGGCAGACAGAATACAACTGAAAAAGATATAACTCATGATGGATTTCCTAGCAATTGTTCACATTTGTGCATGTTATTTGATTAACATTGTGGCTTAGAAAATGTAATCAAGTAACCATTTTTGAAATTCATTCATTCAACAAACATTTATTGAGTATCTACTATGTGCTAAGTATTTGCTAGGCGCTTGGGATACAGAGAGAATGAGGTATTCCTTGCTCTTAGTGAGCTCACAGTCTAGTAGAGGAGATAGAAACATAACTAAATCACTACAATACAATGGAGTCGGTGCCAATCAGGGCATATAGAAGGTGCTAGAGGAGCCAAGACAAAGGGGTTTTTAATTAAGCTGAGGGGATCAGGGAAGCTTTCACAGAGAAGGTGACAACTGACCAGACCTGAAGGAGAAACAGGACTTTACCAGGAAGACAAGGGAGGGTGGGGAAAGACATTCTAGGCTGAGGGGACAGCAAGCCAAAAAGCAAGGAAGCGTGATAAAGCATGACATGACAGGGAACCACAGGTAGTCCCATATGGCTGGGATTTCAACTGCACATGAAGAAGTAGTGAAATATGTGGCCAAAAAAGGAGTATGAAACTAAAGGGTGAAGAGCCTTGTATGTGTGACTAAGAAATTTGGACTTTTCCCTGGAAGTGATGAGAAGGTACTGAATAATCAAAAGCAGGGAGTGACATGGTCAGATCTGCCTGTTAGATGAGCCTGCATGGATGGTATGGAAGAGAGGTGAGACTAGAGGGAAGGAGACCAGTCAAGAGGGGCTCTCACAGCAGTCCACTGAAGGCTCACAGGTGGTTCAAAGGCAGTGGGGGTAGAGATGACAGACTGGAGAGATACTTAAGAGGAAGCTTGACAAGACTTGATGAATGATGATACAAAAAGCAAAACTGCCTCAGAAATGAAACAATATTAAAAACATACATTCAGAAAATATAGTCAACAGCCCCAGGCCTCCCTCCCTTTATGTTCCCATCGTCCTCTGAAATCACCGCATCTGCTGAGGATAAATAAAGGAAGGAGAGCCAGGGTGCTTATAGGGTCACACTTCTCTAACTCAGATACCACTAACTTGGAATCTACAACCATTCAGACAGACTGCCTGTCACTCCTATTGAGTAAGAATTTAACCCTACTTTCTTCCTCTGTGTTATTTCAAGCCTTTAGTCACCAGTGACAGGAATCCAATCTAAAGGCAGTGGCTTCTTCCAATCAAACGCTTGAGGTGCAGTAGACAGCCGCTTACATGGTAGTGTCTGAGAGGCAGCACCATGCATGACCCCCACCCAGGGGCCACAAGGCCTGGAATCCAATCATTAGCGATTCATTCCTTAGAAGAGGCTTTGGTGCCTCTGGACTTCTCTTTTACAAGGCAATGATTCCTGAGATGGGTAGGATATTTACTCATTCTAAACCAGTGGGCTTTTGGTTGCTCGTAATGCTTTTTGCTTTGACAGAAAGGATGAAAGTAGAATAAAAGGGCTATGTAGATACCTGTGGAGGAAGGAGATGCAGAAGGGAAGATTGATGGATACGGGAGAAAACATTAAGATCTTGCCAAGGAATAGCTCTGTAATCACTCAAGAAACTAAAATTCTTAAAGAACGCCTTCTACTTCAGGTTCCAGCAAACCACAGTTCTACATTCTTCTACTTTAAGGAACTTCTGTATTTTAGGTTTAGAATATGCTACTGAGTAGTGAAGGCATATAGTGACTCGCAATCTTCTCATGAACCTCATACTACTTATGACCAATTATAATCTCAAATGTTATTAATTTATACATAGTATTACCACAACTGTATTTTATGAAACTATTTTATAACTCCAACTTGTCATTCTTTCAGTCAGACCGACCTTGTCTTCTGTCATTCCAAATTATTGAGATTTAACTCTATTTGCAGCGTGTTAATCAGTTATGTCACAAGTGACAGAAGATCAAAATTCAGACCCTGAACTTGAAGAGTATCCTATACAGCTCATTAAGGTAAATGAGAGCTGCTTGTGAATACTGGATTATAGAGGTTAGAGCAGAGAACTAAAAAAAAGTGAAACCAAACAAAACTTTAAAAATTACTTACTTCACTTGTTTGGAGGATGGTGAACTTTGGCAGTTTAGTCTTTGAACTGGCTGCACTGGGTTTTCCATCCAAGAGTGTTCCAAATGACAGATTCCCAAAGCTGTTCTCAAATTCAATTGAAGGTTTCAGTGTTGGTGAGATGTCCGGTGCCTGGTCCTGGCCATCCATGGGTCTGACGTATGCAGTTGGCTTTTGCTGCCCCATGCTTGTTTTGCAGTAAAGCCCTGGTGGGAAGTTTTGAACTGAAAGGCCACTGCTAGGAGCTAATAAAGAGGAAGCCACTAGGGGAGACCCAGGCGCTTGCACGGCGAATTCAGATTCTTCCGGTGAATTGGATTGAAAGATTTCTTTGAAAGCATCTTCTCCACTAGAATTAGGGTTACTGTCTTCCTTTGCAGATGGGTTTGACTCTTCAACTTCTCCAATCTGGGGCTGTTCAGCTGGGTAGACAAAGAAGTCTTCCAGTTTGGCTTGAGACTGGTCCTGTGTCAAAGTCTGCATCTTGTTTGGCTGACCACTGGCCTGGCTTGCCAGTACAGTGCTAGGGTTATGACTATCACGTGACCACTCAGGTTTTGATTTTCTGTTGCTGTGTATTAGAGTTGAATTCAGTATCACAACAGAAGGTGGAGGCATTGGTGCTGAAGGATGGGTATTATCCTGGTGAGGTGGAATTATTCTGTTCTTTTGTTCTGGAAAAAAGCTTGGTTCATTTTTGTTGTTGGGATTCTGGGGCACAGAATTCTTTGGAATTCCCACTAGGTGATTCTGATTAGAATGGTTAGTTAGCAAATTCTTCATTTCATCATAGTTTCCAAGCGTGTTCTGGACTCGGTTGGCAAGTGCATCACCTTTGTTTGTCTAAAATAACAAAAAGATGGGGGTGGGAGGAGAGAGAATGAATAGGTTTGTGTTTCCTAATGTTAATGTTTCAAACAGATGCCCTAAGTAGACTATCATACGGGATTCTTTAAATATGTCTTGCTGCCATATAATTTCATGCTTTTCATGTGCTATGTAAGAAAAAAAATCAAGAACACTATTGAAAAAGCTTCTGGAATGAGCGGGTATGATTAACATTTTTATACTCCCTAGCCAGTCCTTAAACATGTTCATTGAGAAAAACTTTTAAATTACATCATTTATTAATTTTATTAGAAAAATAACTTATTCTGTGACAGATGAGCTGAATTGCTACATTCTACATTGTGATTAACAACTTCTGCTTACCAATCATTGGAGTTATAATGGAATTTTCTACCTATATAAATTTTTGACATATCAGCCTTTGCACCACATTATACCATGAAAAAGGCTTAGGCTATTGGATAAGAAAATCAGTTAAATTGTGCTACCATGACTATAATAAGTTTAGGACAGGAATGGAATTAAACAGCATCTAATTGAGCTAACTCATGATTAAAATGAATCTGATTCCTTCTAATCAAAGAACTGTATGAATTACTAGTGTTTGCCTGTATATTCTGGAATGACTGTGTTTACATATTGATGATTCATACTCATTTACTTTGAAATGATGCAATTGTTCATCAACAGTGACTCAAGCCCTTCTGTGTCTTTTCAATGATTAAGGAAAATTTATTCAAGTATTTAAACTGTTGTTTAAGGAAACCAAAACAAAGTTATCTTTTCAAAGTGATGTTAGCCTAATGTATAGCAGTTAGAGAGGCAACCAACTCATTTTATGGACAATCAGTATACCAGCTACACCACCCCCTGTAGGATGTATTGGTTCTATTAAAATGGCTGTGATTGTTTTTAAAATAATTATGCTCCTGCATGGGTTTTTGTAATACAGAAAGCAAAGTTATCATGACTAAAAAATGGTGGGTAGCTGTATACTTGGAAATGACTTTGATGAAAGCTCAGTTGATCACCCCCAAAAGTGACTTTCTTTATTCTCTTTATATGCCAAAGAGTTTATCAAAACAAGCTGCTGAATTCAGAAAGCCAAAGGACCTTTTTGTACCTAGGCTGCACTATCCTGGCCCAAGATGTTGCAATGATAGAAGGCTACCAGTATTCAAGGAGCCATCTGGCAACTGGGCCACTGGATGGGAAAAATACCACCCTATGTGGCCTTCAAGTCCCAGAAGCCATGGGCACATTTTCAGTGCACAGGAGGGAGTGACCATCTAACCATTGGTACACTCTCTGCTGAAGATAGTTGTTTAACATCTAAGATTTTTCACATGCCCTTAACACAGCCCAGTCTCCTAGTGTACACAGGGAGTATACCTATCCAGCGCTAGCATCTCAGTCTAAGGCTGTGTGTTTTCCTTTGTATGTGAAGATGGGAGGATATGCAGATGGCTAGAGGGCGAAGTGCTAGAAATGGGTGAAGTCGTCTGGGGAAAGAAAACATAGAATGAGAAGATACGGATTGGCAGAGAACCCTGGCAAGCATCAACCTTTAAGAGACTGAGAGAAGATGAGGAACCAGCAAACGATACCAAGAAGGAACAGAGAGAGAATCAAACCAGTAATCTTGGCCTCATTATCAGCACCATCTCCATATACCGTAAAAAGTATTTAACTCATACTATGTGTGTGTGAAACCATATGAGACACTTCCAAAGAAATGAGGGCAATAGGAGAAATATAAATTTCAAAGATTAAGGAAAAGTATGCTAAACATATGCTAAGGGAGCTCTGTCAGGGACAGATATTTTTAGAAGTCAAATAACTATATGTCAATTTTAGTTTGCTTATCCTCCAATCATATATTGTATCATACGCAACCTTAGTACTGAAGTAGTGATTAAACAATTAACATTCTGTATAATCCTCAGCTGAATAATCACTCTGTTTTCAAAAGTACATCTGAAAGATATATTTAAAAGTTATAGATGGGTAGAAGTCACTTTTATTTCCTAAAAGTCTCTAGGTTTGTCATTTTTAATGGCAGGAATTACTTTTTAGCCCAGACAAGAATAAACTCTTTGTATATAGTGGTCTCCTTCAACTGAGTTGCACAATGAACCACATGGACAGTAGCCAAAACCAGGCTCCCTGTTCAATCTCTAAATTTAAAACAAAGAAATTTCATTGTGCTGAGGGTCCAACAAGAATCTGATGCAAGCTTTAAACATTTGTAGGTTGTTTTGGCCTGTCAAACAGATTACCTCTTGGGTCAGATGTTTGCCTCATGAACAGTGATATCTGGCCATATTCAATGATCTGACTCAACAAGGGAAAACAACACCATTTCACTTCCCATTGGAATGCCTTCATTTCATTATCTGGCTTTCACAGAAACAGAGCTCTGCAAAATCAGAACCTTCTCCCTAGGTGTCATAGAGACCACTGTAATACCTCCATGCCCTGAAAAGTCATTGTAGTCTCCTTAGGGAAACACAATCAGGACTCAAGAATGTGAAAGCTCATTTGCTTACAAGCAAGCTAGTCAAATTCCTGTTCTTGTTTCAGGAGTAAATAAAAGAGGTTCATCTTGTCCTCAGTAGGGAGAACCTTGCCTACTTTGTAATGTCTCTTCATTGACATTTACTTATAATGATCTGGGTTTCTGAAGCAAGCTTAGATATAGTTTTCCATATCTAGGTTTTAAAAATATACTTGAAATTAAAAGAATTTCTAAACTGGCCAATGTCTAACACTGTGTCTATGTGAACAAAATTAGAGGAAAATTGAAATTTCTCTCAATAAGTCTGGAAAATCAACCTTCTACTACACAGTGTATACTACACTTATGATATCTTTCCTTGAATAAAACCATGAGTTCTTAAAGGTCAGAGACTACATTTCACTTATTTTTATATACCCAAGATGTAGCACCATGTCTTGTGCTAATCAAATACTCAATACATTTTTACAGAATTGAACAGGATAAATTAAAATTCATACCCTGTCTATATCAAAATAAAGAATTTGCAATGGCTGAAGTCAAAGGTACATAATAGAAGGCAAAAATCAGGCTAACTTCGTTACTATGATTGAACATTAAATTGAACTTTGAGTTTCCTGGTAGCTAAGGCAAAAAGGAAAAGCTCGTAGGTTATAGAATTATCTTTCATCGAAAGAAGCATATCCTAATTCATTAAATGAGACAAATGTTGTCTGATAATAAAATGTGAAAAGGAATTCCTCTCACTGATATTTTTACAAGAACACTTGAGCAATGTAACACTTTTTGGGGCCTCATTTTCCAAAATGATGCAAATATGTCTTCATGTGGCTTTTTCTTATGATGACTAACTCAGTGAAAGCCTGCCTGCATGTGGACTTAGAGGTCTAGGCTAATACAATCCAGGCGTGCAGCTTTCTTGCACAGTAATGACACAGGAGTGAAGCTGTGATAACCTGGAGAAATAGAGGGATGTCATCTCCCTTAGACTAGTTTCCTCATAGAGCAATTGTCTCAGAAGGAAGGACGTGTGACAGGAAATGTATAGCACACAGTTCAAGGTTGAGTTCACTGGTGATGCTTTCTGAGTTGCTGATTGAAGGAAGATCCATATGGTTTGCATAACAGATGTTCTGTGGCTACAAGTAGGAATTATTGTAGTAGTTCTTAAGACAGACACTGGTAAATTTGAGACCCTCCTGAGGCAGGGTTACGCACAGAGGACACATGGACACAGAGCCTCAAGAAGTTCACCATTCAACAATCAGCACATAATTAGTAGTCCAGTCCAGGTCGCCAGAGTAAGCACTCTACCTTCCCACCACTGGAGGTGGGTAACTGTCAATCAGCTTTTAAATTTCTCAAGATGGAGATATGAGAACCACTGGATAGAAAACCCAATGGGGCCTGAAATACATTTATACACACCTACACAATGTACTCTCATTATACACCATAGCAACTTCTGATTCATACTAAATGTTCTTTTTCACCCTCCAGAGTCTTAGTAATCCTATTAAGGAACAAAATATTCTTGGTAATCTTGATTGAACATTATAAACATGACAAAAATGAAATTCAGCCATTTCAATCAATTATATGCTTCTTTCAATTTGGCTAATTATTTACTTCCTGGTCTAGATAATTGGTTGATTCTTTAAAGGTAACCTCTGCAGCCATTATTTTCTAAGCAATCACAATTTCTCTATCATCAGGAAATGCATTTTCCAAGTATTTTCAGGCATAAATTACATGTCTGGTTTGTGGCTCATGACTAACAGCATTCCCTCATTTAAGTTTTTTTGCCTCTCATTACTTCAGGAAATGCAAACTTCCCTCAGTTTGTTTCTAATGCTATCTACAAATCAGTAGTATAATTTCATTGCATGCAAGACTAATGTGCTAGGAGGCTATTGTACCATAGTATTTCTTTTTAATACAAGTAGCAAAATAATTCAAGTTTTGAAGCGCATTTTTTTCTTTTATTTTATTGTGGCTAACATGTGATTTAGTAATTTGTCTTTTTCTAATTCTAGTATTTTTGCAGTTAATCTCTCTAAGCTCTAAGTTTCTATTTCCTTCTTTACTCTAATTATAATAAAGATAATACCTGAATTTGTGTAGCACCTTACAGATTTCAAAGCAAGGTTTCCCAGGTTATTTCATGTGATCCTTAAAACAACCATGTGAGTCAGCAGAGTAGCTCTGGCCTCCATCTGGCCTCTACCTCTATGTGTCCCAACACAAATGACCTTGGGTAAGCCATTTAATAATCCTCTGTGCACCTCAGTTTCCTCATTCTCATTGGGCTATGAAGAGCCATAAAATATTACTATTCTTATTAATTACTATGATTCAATCCAGAAAGGAAAAAGAAAACCTATGGATCAGAGAAAGGGAGTTTCTTCTCCACCATCACCCAGCAGGTAAGCTTATCAAGTATTCTGACATCCTGTCAGAGGATAAATAACTTCCTGTTACAGATACGGAATCATACAGAACTGGATGCAAGGTCTAAATTCGCCATGTATAAGGATATGAAAATGCAAAGAAGCCATCTCGCTTCTCTGAGTTAAAATTCCTCGGCCGGGCGCGGTGGCTCACGCCTGTAATCCCAGCACTTTGGGAGGCCGAGGCGGGCGGATCACGAGGTCAGGAGATCGAGACCATCCCGGCTAAAACGGTGAAACCCCGTCTCTACTAAAAAATACAAAAAATTAGCCGGGCGTAGTGGCGGGCGCCTGTAGTCCCAGCTACTTGGGAGGCTGAGGCAGGAGAATGGCGTGAACCCGGGAGGCGGAGCTTGCAGTGAGCCGAGATCCCGCCACTGCACTCCAGCCTGGGCGACAGAGCGAGACTCCGTCTCAAAAAAAAAAAAAAAAAAAAAAAATTCCTCATGGAAAACATGGGAAAGTTGCATACCCCAGTTGTTATAAGGACTAAATGAACACACACATTGTTATAAGGACTAAATGAGCATACACATAAAACTCTAGCACAGTGCCTAGCAGACAGTAAGCTGGCATGCACTTGTTACATGCCAGTTCCTTACCAAACTTAGTGCACTAACCTAGACAAGTCAAATGGCTTCATATTTTTCAGGCACATTTGAAGACATCCTTCTCAAAAGCATAACACAAACTCCAATTTGAAAATCATATGCTACAAAAGCAGCCCAAGAGAGAAGTTCCCTATTACCAACCAAATCTAGGGGTGGTCAACATTCTCTCCATTCTGGCAGTGGTAGAGGCAAAGAAAAGAAGGGAAAGAAATTAGCCAGGAACATGAGAGATCACCATTTATCTTTCTGCCAAGAAAGGATAATAGGTCCTAGAGATCAGTGTTCATGTTGGCTAATTTATGAACCACTGGCGCTATTGGACAGGTGACTGGACCTTGTTTTAGGCTTCAGGGTAGCAAGAACTTTCCTGAAAGTCTTGACCCACCATCAGGAATGTTTATTCTAAATTTGATAAGCACTCCCACTGCTATCTTAGGGAAGAGCTGTGGTATGTCCTCGTTTCTACCAGTGGACCATGGGCCAGCTCTAGGACTCCCATGACCACTGGCATGTCCAGATACTCCAAGGATATCAAGCCCAGTCTTGGTCTGGGGAGCCTTATGGAGGTGCAACATCAGTTCTAGTACTCTGTTACTCCTCAGTGTTCTCCCAGGGAACCCTGAATGTGGATGCAGCTCAAGATAACAACCAATCATCAAAGCAAGGGTGAAAGAAAAATAATTATTAGGTCACCAATCACTAGCATTATTCTTTTCCTTCACAGTTTTGACTTAAGAACAAAGGTTTTGGCCAGGCGCAGTGGCTCACGCCTGTAATCCCAGCACTTTGGGAGGTCAAGGTGGGCAATCACCTGAGGCCAGGAGTTTGAGACCAGCCTTGCCAACATGGTGAAACCCCATCTCTACTAAGAATACAAAAATTAGTCGGACATGGTGGTGCACACCTGTAATTCCAGATACTTGGGAGGCTGAGGCAGGAGAATCACTTGAACATGGGAGGCAGAGGCTGCAGTAAGTCGCACTGCACTCTAGACTGGGCGATAGAGCGAGACTCCATCTCAGAAAAAAAAAAAAAAAGGACAAGGTTTTTCCCCATCAGGAAGCACAAAGGTAACAAGCTACTAATCACACAATAGGCCCTGCCCCACACTATACTAAATGTTCCCATCTATGTCTCTACTTGATGTACCCTTGTAATATCAAGACAGATGGCTTTCAAAACTTCTGAAAATGTTGATAACAGATTTTTTTCAACTGCCTACTCAAAAAGACACTGCTAACATTTAAAAAATGGATCTATATAACAGGCCTTGTGAAAAGATGGCATTTACCTTAAAGGTACAAGACCATCAATTCATCGTGACTTAAAATTATGAAGGGAGAATAAATCAAGAGTTCTCCACCTCATTATAATGTTGAGGATAGTGTGGACATTGGATTTTAAGAATAAACCTTTTGAGTAAAGCTCATTTTTCTAACCCATCCAAAGATAACATGTAAAACTTATCTCCTTATTCCTTCTTCAGCTTGAGAAAGGATAAGACACTTACCGTGCTTTGACCTCTCCTCCATTTTCTGCAGAAAATGGAGGCCCTGATTTCTTGCACTTCCCCAATCTTCCTTCCCCTCGCCTGCTTTGTTCTCATTCTAATGTTCTGTTCCCACCTTCTACCCTATAGCTCATGATTCCTCAACTGCTCTCCATCTTGTATTATTTTTAATCTCCTCCGGGACCTTGCTCAACTTAGCCTCACCTTTCTCTCCTGTATCTTCCACCTTCTCATTCACCATTGAAGTTATTTGCTTCCCATCAATCTCTAAACATGTTCACGTTTATCTCATTTTTCTAAAAAGCTTCCCTTTATATAATTCCTCCCTTTACTTTCTAACTTATCTTTCTTTCTTTTTTCCTCCATGCAAAACATTTCTTCAAGATCATATCTACATTGACTGTCTCGCTTTCTTTACTTAACCACTTCCCATTTATTCTCCAACCCCTGGCAGTTTGGCATCCCACAATGACCATTGTCATCAACAAATAAAACAACTCTCCATAAGGTCACCAATTACTCCTTAACTGCCAAATCCAAACAGCCACTTTAAAGTTCTTACCTTTCCTGACCTCTCTGAGGCACAGCAAATCCTTCCTTTGTTCCCTAGGTTTCTATTAAATTTTCTTTCCTAGTTCTCTTCCTATCACTCTGATCATTCCTTTGGAGTTTCCTTTCCTGGCCTCTGCTTTCACCACCTCTTTTACCCCTTAAATGGTGCTACTCCCAAGAATTGTTTGTCCTCTTTTTTACTCCATAATCTCTTCAGTGATGGTAGGCATTCTCACAGCTTCCACTGATACCTATAAGACAATAACAGCTAAACTTCTCCCTTGACCACTCCCATGAGTTTCAGACCCATATATCCAAGCCTTCTGGATAGCTCTCTCCTGATATCTCTCTAGCATCTCAAAGCCAACGCACTCAAAACTAAATTAATTGTTTTTTCTCTACAAGCAGCAACCATGTTCTCCTCCTGAACAAAACTTGTTCATGATACCACCACCCTCTCAAATAAAAAACTTGGGAACCATTAATTCTTATTCCATACTCCCCACATGCAATTAGATACCCAATTCCATAATTTCAACTTCCTTACTCTACCTTAAATCATTCCTGACATAAGCTCCCCTCATCAATTACAATAGCTTCTTTATCTTTCCTTAGTTTCCCCTCCCTCTGACCCACTGTCCACACTGCCCAACATCATCATTCTAAACTGTTCATTTTTCCTGGCCATACTATGACTTAAATATTTGTAATGATTTTTTTCATCATGTAAAAAATTATGTGCAAGCTCTTTATAATGAGTTTGAATACAAAGTCTTCGCTGATCTGTCCCTTGCTATCTCTCTGTTACCATGCAGGCATGCCATCACTGTGTCAAATGATCTCTGCCACTCGACTAGGAACTCCTTGAAAACAGAGACTATGCTATTCCTCTTTGTACACTGGTGTAAGGCAGTGACTAGCACATAGTAGACCTTCATAAATGTTTGTTAAACCAATTATATATCTAAATATATACCTTCAAAGTAGTATACAAATTAACCTGTTGATATGGGAACACTGCTTTTTTAGGGATCATACTATTACTGACAGATTGAAAACCAGTAGCTTAGGTGACCTAAGTTTCTTCATCAGGCTTACCAAACTTGAAAGTTCCTGCAGTGTCTCAATCAAGAGTTGCTTACTTGCTTTGAACAAGGTAACAAGAACCTGGTCTCACCAGTCACCAATCCAAATAGCTTACTCTCTACCCCAAAGTAGTATTTGGGCCTATGCTGTCTTCCTTAAGAACTTTCCTTTTCCAGAAGTCACTGTCCCTTAAAGGGTACTCTTCTAAAATCACAGCTCTTGAAAATTTTCTCTATTGTTGTACTTCTTACATCATTTTTATTACAGAAAATTACACTGCTACTGCATTTCAATAAAAACCAACCAGCTGCCAGCAATTCAATAAGATTCTTCCATCATAATCTCTTCCCAGTCGCCTCTCATCTCTACCCCAAATAGAAAGTTCAGAAGCAGTCATTGTAAAATCAATACTTGTAGACACAGCAGTTTGATGATTATTGGAGCTACACACTAGTCAGAATACCACTAGAAATTCAACCTAGCTATACTACCCCCCTCTGGTTGAGACAATCTTCTAACCCATGATTATTAACCACCAGGAAAAATGATTGGCTTTTTTCCTTTATTCTAGAACAATGATTTTCAAAGAGCACTCAAACCACTGAAGAGCTGCTAACAACCTAAAATGGAAAAGAAAAACAGTGGCCTTGCAATGGATGACACTGATTGGGAAAAGAAACAGACATCTCCATTGACATTCTGATGAAGTCTTCAGGAGCTGCCTACTGACAATCACAGCAGTAGAAAGTGTCAAGGGGGCATTCCTTGCTGTAGGAAGTGTTGGGCAGAGAGGGGCTCATTGGAGACAGGAAGTCTCACAAGTCTCTCTTCAATCATACTGTGCTCCCAAAAGAAGATGAAATTTGTTTCTGAAGACTTCGTCAGAAACTTGCAGTTGCCTCAAATACAGTGTATGTACAAATTTCACTTGTAAAATATATTCCCCTGGAAATGAGTTGGGTGCTTTAAACATAAATTAAATGTTGATTAGTGAGTTCAAAAATGTAACAAGCAACCATTTTCCAGAAAGAAAAATTACATACATATTCAGCTACCTTGTATGGCTCCCCAAAAAGATCAAAGCCTGAAGAAAAGAGATCGTCTTCTTGCTGGACTTCTTGATTCCTCCGCTCCCATTCCCTTTTTTTAAGTGCACTACGGTCTTGTTCATAGTGACTGATATGAAAAGGAAAAGACAAAAAGAGAAAAAGATTAATTAATCATGCAAGTCATTTAAATTTTCCTTGCTGTCAATAATAAGAAAAAAATTCAAGTCAACTTGCTGCCCAAGTTGACACTGCATAGAGAACAGATAATCCTTTTCATTACACCTATTGAGTTTAAGATCCTGACCAGCTCTTCAGAATAAAGAAGAAAACAAAAACTTGCTTATTTGAAATGATATTCATGACAAGCAAGTAAAGCAAAATCTCTTCCCTTGTCCTTTTTTGATTATTATAAGCAATTACATACTCCCCAAAAGTCAGCCCACAGTGCAGAAAGGTACTGAATTAAAGTTACATTGTGTTGCCAACTACCTAGGGCTCAGAATCCACAGATGTCACAAAGTCCTAAGGGAAAGGAATTATCAAAGTACGGAGCTGAAGATAAATTGGATTTCTGTCCTGAGCCCATAGCCAAAGTGAGCTTGTTTTGATGAACTCACAGGAGAATTTAAGGGCATTTTCAGAAGTCCACAAAAAAATAAATCACCAAATCACCTACACTTCTTTGTGTTTGGTTGTTGTGGTGTTGGTCTTCTCACAGTTTTCTTCAAAAGTGAATGGAAGCCTTTTTGAGAAACTCTTCACAAAAAAAGGGGTCTGACTTGAATAACAAATGACTAACTGTGGATGAAAAAAAGGAGGTGTCAAAAGCCTTTAATGACCTCAACGAACAAATGTTTTATAAAGACTAACTGTGACTCTCATCACATTTCAGGCTTTCCCATTGGAGGATCAAAAGCTTCTAAACAATATTTAAGATATATTCCAGGCCTTCTGGTTTTATGGAATGGAATGCTTCCTTATTAAGAAAACAATTATTTTCTTCATCATGCAAGACTGCAAATTAAGCCATAATCTAAGTCTCGTAGTGGTGTATCTTATTTTATTCACTGGGCTTTTTTCATGCTTTTGATGTTAACCTTACCCAAAGTGAGTATATATACACTGAGCAAATTTAAATTACATAAATGTACATAAAATGCCTAGCAGGTGTTGGATAAATGTTGGTTTCCTTCCCCATGTTAATAGTCCCATGTTAAGACTTAATTAGATAATTGACATGCAAATGAACATAATAGCTAAAGGAATTATAAGAGATCTACTGATATAAAACTACAGTTGACAGGCTTTGACTATATCCGAAACCTTAATACCTGTCATTGGTAGGCTAGTTTGCTCAAAGAACCTAGAACATAAACTATCTGTGCAGCTTAACTAGATGTTGATAAACATGGAGTGTACAATGCCACTACACTTAATCATCCACTTTTCTTCACAGGAATCCTTGAATGGTCAAATTCAAAGTGACTTTGATAACTTTATCTCCTGGATAAAGAACACTCATTTCTCCATTAAAAAACAGCAACAACATTTATAGGATGTTTAAATGCACATTACACTTTCATAATACAAACGTCAGATACATTAAAGCTCACTGGACCATTCATGAGTATATTCAGCAAATGTTATCACTGTCTGAGTAAAGCAAAGAAAACCTTCAGAGTCCTACCCAAAGCCAGGGCCCCATATCTAGGCCTTGCCTGGTCAAGGAAGATATCAAGTCCAGATACTGGAAGCCAGGCTATTATTTGTAGTCTCAGATGCCCTCCATAGGTATTAGATTTTCTAGCATCATCTTTCATTTCCATTCACAAGTTGAACTCAGAACCCCAAACAATTGTTGTGTGTCTCAATGTCTCCATGTTTGAGACTGACATGGAAACAATCAGGCACAGTAACATCTTCAGTCCGTTAAGTGTGGCGCTTGTGACCGTACCTCAACACCATAAATTGGCTGTGTGTAATCCAATCCCATCAATTTATCCAAATGTAAGAAAGATTGGGTGTTATGGGGGTGGGGGTAGAGTAACAAGTTAAAGCAATATTTAGTGAGGGCAGGGTTGTTGCAAAGGAGAAGGACACTTAATTTCTTTGCTTTCCATAGCAGATTAGTATCTACACACAAACAAGAACCAAAGTCTTTTCCTTCTGAGTAATGCGAGCAGGATGTCAGTTTTCTAGCTATCTGTTCATTTTGTGCACCTGACAGCTAAGAATGACAGGCCCATAGATCACATTTAATTCTCCCATGAAGAGAACTGAAGTGCTTTGGTCTCTTGGCTTTGCAAACTACCTTCCTTCTCCGAGGGAAAGATATAATTAAAACCCTGAAGGAAAAAGAAAGGAGAAGGAGAAGAAAAGGAAACGTGCTTCAGCTTGCATGACAACCTTTCAAACGATCAGCAGTAAGGGCACTTTCGGTGCTTTAGCCCTGGCTTTGATTTGTTAGGAGGCTCTTGGCTGCATTTTGCATCAGTTCATTAGCTACCAAATTCCAGACACAAATTTGAATAGCAGATTGAGTGTGCATGCGGGTGTTATCTGTTGCAAGCAAAACTGCCTGCTGCATTTTTTAACACATCCGACAAAGAACAGTTAATTCTCATATCTCTGGCGAGAATGAATTTAATCTCCACAGAGCTCCACTGCTCTTGGAAGGCAACCAAATATCTCCAACTTTTTCCTTTCTTGCTCAGCATGGCGTTGTATTGAAGGCTTCACACAGTGAGGTCTAATGAGTAATGAACTACATGGTGATGAGGCTTTCAGTCTATAACGTCACTGATTTCTGACTGAAACCAACATTACTAATTTGAAGCACCAGCTAATTAAAACCACAGCTATGTATTTAGCCTCTTGTTATACCTACTGCAGTTTATAATTATGAGGACCTCTTTATCTACTCAATTAAATTTCTTATGATTCAGGCAGGTTGTGTTTGAACCTGTGAGCCCTGCAGAGGCTGCAGGAAAGTATATGTCTGTCCCCTGATAATTTGATACATCTTTACACACCCAGGCCTGCTTTCCAAAGGAAAAAGAGCTCCATAGCCCACAAAGAAATGCTCAAGCCAAAAACCTGAATTAATCATCATATCATCGGTATGAACAATTCAAGTTTATTCTGTGATGAAGACAGGATGAATTGATCCTATCAATCAGCATGAAAACCCATGTTCATACTGAGAAGTTAAGCCAAAAATCTCAACTCAAGGATTCATCACTCTTAGCAAGTTAGGATATTTTTCCAACTTTTTTCTCCTGGATATAATAAAATTGGTCACATTATGATAATATAAAAACTGAC
This sequence comes from Homo sapiens, assembly GCF_000001405.40. NCBI lineage: Eukaryota > Metazoa > Chordata > Mammalia > Primates > Hominidae > Homo > Homo sapiens. Next base: position 148,648,801 of record NC_000023.11, on the reverse strand, counting down.
CACTCAAAACCAAATTTACTATGAATTAACCAAAGGCCTTAGGTTTCTCTCTCTCCAGGTTACCTTTTTGGAATCGCTATTTCATTGATATCCACGCTAGCTGACTGGAAAAGGTCAGAAAGAAGAACAAGTTCCATTTAACTACTTTGTTAATCACCTTGGTGTAAGGCATGATGGTGAGAAGCTTCTCTCTATCATAGGATTTTTTTTCTTTTCTTTTTTTTTTTTTTTTTTTTTTTTGACGGAGTTTTCCCTCTTGTCGACCAGGCTGGAGTGCAATGGCGCAATCTCAGCTCACTGCAACATCCACCTCCCAGGTTCAAGCGATTCTCCTGCCTCAGCCTCCCAAGTAGCTGGGATTACAGGCACCAGCCACCACGCCTGGCTAATTTTTTGTATTTTTAGTAGAGGTAGGGTTTTGCCATGTTGACCAGGCTGGTCTCCAACTCCTGACCTCAGGTGATCCACCCGTCTCGGCCTCCCAAAGTGCTGGGATTACAGGCATGAGCCACTGCACCCAGCCCAGGATTTTTATATTAGCTGTGATTTCACCCACCTGTGTGCTTCCCTAGCCACCACAAACAGAGGAACTGCCCTCATTTACAAAAGAGGAAACTAAGGCCCTCCAAAAATGAACAGAGGGAGCTGTCTCAAGCCGTCATCAAGCTAGTGGCAAAGGAAGATCTGAATCTGTTTCTTCCATCTTCAAGTACATGTAGTATCTTCTCCTAGCCTTCTCCTTCTCTCAGACACTTGAACCTTATCTTGTATGTAGATAACTCTCATTTTGCTCATTAAAAGCCTCAGGTTCATTGGTGGGACAATAAAATGCAGGGCACATGTAGATTCCGTGAGATCTAGAAAGTTCAATTATGCCGTCTTCATTAGCGCACAGTGGTAGCCCACACAGGCTGACAATGCAGGCTAGTCTTTTACAACAGAGACTGTTTATAACAGGAAGAGAGTTTAGCAATCATCTAGTTGCAGTGCCCTCATTTTACAGATGAGGAAATAGAACTAAGGTAAGGTAATGGGCCTCACAGCGGGTTTGTCAGAGAACTAGGAGGCTGGAACTCAGGCTTTCACATTCCCAAGCAACATGGTTTGTCCCTTCTGCCTCCTGTGTTTCCATCACACTTCAGAATGAAGATGAGTTTCACATGCACTCCATTGGTCACCTTTCCTTAGGACTGCATTTTATTAGAAATTGGCAGTAGGGAAAAACTTTAGGGATTTAATTTAGATTCGAGTATAGATAAACCACTAGTTTCCTTATATCAAAATGTACAGACCCTAAAGGGATTATAAAAATTAACTGCATCTGTGGGGAAGAGGCTGGGCGAGGGAGAGTAAAAACCAGTTTCAGTCCATTTGGTTCATATATTTCATGAAGCTAATACTCATTGTTTACCTAATTTGGTTATTTTACAAAGCCACTTGGGGAATAAAAAATTGATATTTTAAAATGATAAATTTGTTTTAAAATACTGCTAATATATGATTTACTGTAGTAATGGTGTACATGAAGGTAAATAATTCAGCCTCACTTGTTTTCCAGTCCAACTACAGTAAACACCTTTATTTGGCTAATATCTTTGCAAAAGCATAAAAATACATATTTAATCCACTCAAAGGACAAACATAAGCTATCACTCACTTCCTGTGGTTCTTCTGAATGAATCCCTGCCTTCTATAACATGTGTAGATATTTATCCATGTTATATGTTCCAGAGTGTCAGGTGATACTTTTTCTATACCGAGTCCTATTTTGAATTTGACACTGATCTAATCTCTACATAACTTCTTTTTGTTAAGAAAAGAAAATCTCTGCTATCCAATACCTTCAAACTTAACCCACATTATGTAAAGTGCTAAATTCAAAACTATAAAAGCAGCTCAAAACAGGCCATCATTATTTTACACATATAGAGTAAAAACACAAGAACCTTGGATCTGGAGGTGTGCAAAAGAATAGAAGGTAAGTGGCCTTGGAAAGGAATTTCTAAAACCAGTAGAACCTCCTCAGCCATATTTAATGTCAGGACTCATGAGGAACTCAGCATACCACCACTCTCTTCAGCAAATGAACTATCTCCCTGCAAACACTGTCTCTCATGAAAAATAATCAAGAAGAGAATGAAAAGGTGAGAAACACACAAGTTTTTAGCTCTAGACAGCTGCCCATCTGATCATTCCAATTTGTTTTTGATTTTCCTTTAAATCTGTGGTTTGTAAAATTATGTAGACATCAATAGTCCAGAGGTCCTGGCAGAAACAGGCTTAATATTTCAATGTAGGAGCATCTTGGGACTACCTCATCCCCTCCATTTCTGAAAATGGAAGCAAAGATTCAGCCCATCTGCAAAGCCTGTCTAAGCCTCCTCCAATTAAGTCAGGCAGACCTCCCAAGAGCCATCCCTCCTAACTTGTTTCTGTATCCCCTGCTTTGCTTCTTTTCTAGTCCTCTCTTTTCATTAATAACAGCTTGATTGAGATATAACTAATATAGCTACAATTTCACCCATTTAAAGTGTACAATTCAGTGGTTTTTAGCATATTCACAGAGTCTTGAAAGCATCACCATGATATTAATGTTAGAATATTTTCATCAACTCAAAAAGAGGCTCTGTACACTTTTAGGTATCATCCTGTCCTGCAATCCTACCATCCAGCCCAGCCCTAAGCAACTACTAATCTACTTTCTCTCTGAATGAATTTGCCACTTCTAGATACTTCATATACATGGAATTATGCAACATGTGGTTTTTTGTGCATGGCCTCTTTCACTGAGCATACTATTTTCAATGTACATCCACACTGTAGCATGGGTCAGTACTTCGTTTCTTTTTATAGTTAAATAATATTCCACTGTATGGATATTCCTGGTCCTATGATATACTGTGCTCATTAAGAGGGCTCAATTTTGTTTTCTTCTAATGATTTAACCAGGATTCTCTAAGTCTCCCATTAGACTTTTCCCTCCTTAAGGTCAGAGGTTTTTAAGTCACTGCATCCTCCAACTGAACACAAATAACCTTTCTGTACATAAATAAGCAATGGACAATGCAAATGTCATAAGGAAAACATATTTGCTTTTTTGAAAAAAAGTGTGTGGCTTAGGCTTTGGACAAAATTATTTTGACTGGCCTACCAAACACTCAAGAAGACGTTGTCATCTCTCTAACAAATACCAAATACTCAAGCTGCAAAGATAATTTAATACACTTAGGAGTGGTAAAAACCTACTAGAAACCTAACCTGATGCCAGTCAAAGAAACAGATTCTTTTGTTCCCAGGTAGAAAGCTTTAAGGAATTTTACAGTGTGTCCAAAAAAGATGGCATCCAGATTCAGATGATCTGGGACAGGCTCTGTCACTTTCACTTACAAGTTTCTTGTTCATTAATAAATTGCTTTACATTTAAAGCCTCAGTTTCCTTCTTTGAACATGAAAATTAACTTTATGTCTTCTCTGCATGGTTAGTGTAAAGGTTACATATGATAGTTATCAAAAAAGGCTTCTGTAAACTACTAATGACTGCTCACATTTAACAGATAAGATGACTGACACCCTGATAAAGCGATATGTAAATCTCTTTATAGCTTTTGGGTCCTCTTTACTCTGTAAAAACATAGCAAAATTTCATGGTTGCTGAAGTCTAAAGTCTTTCTAGTAACAGATTAAGTTAATTTCATTAGATATCCTTTACAAATTTTCTTCTATAGACTCAGATATGACCTTTGAGACAGAGACACTAAGTTGGTCAATTTAAAAATGTAATTCACAAATTAATAATGATCTGAAATTTAAAATAATAACTTTAAATTGGAAATGTTTCTAAATATTTCTTCTATCACTTGGTTCACAATTTTGGCTGCCTATCAGAATCATCCAGAGAAGATTTTATAAATCTCCAGGCTCAGGGCATACATTGGACCAACTGCATCTGGATCTCACAGTGTGAGTCCCAGGCATCACATGGAAAATAACTCCTGGTCTTTATATTAATAGATAAATTTCTTTATTTGACCCATTTGGGCATATCAAAATCTGACAAACTTAACCTGAAGAGATCATTTGTCTTTTCATTTCATGAAGGAAAATCAAGGACCAAACACCTTTAGGGAACTAATGTATTTATTCTATTATGTAGAAACATACATTGCTGGTATATGTTGGGAAAAGTGCCTTGAAGGTGAAAGCAGTTATTACAAGAATAGACTTGTGCAGAAGAACAACAATAACACTAATAGTTCCTATCTGTTGATTCCTTGTTTATGCCAGCCACTGTTCCAGGACTTTTATGAGTACTATCTTATTTAATCCTCACAAAAACTCTGAAGTGGTATACCATCCTCATTTTGCGGATGAGGAAACTGAGATACATGAGACACAGGGAGGTTAACATGCTCAACACCACACAATTAGTCAGTGGTACAAAAACACAGTAACCGCTGGGGCTGTCAGAATCCAGAGGCCACCCTCTTGGTCATAAAGAAGATTCTAGTCTTACTCACAGAAGAGAAGGGCACTCTATTCACAGAGAGGCACATCCACATATTTAAGCTCTGCTCACACAACGTGCACAGTGCAATTGATCCAGAAGGTATGTCTAAAATCTTAACTATCTTCAGAATATCTCGGCTTCTCAGGGGCTATTGGAGCATGGTTTACATTCTTCTCAGAAAAGCAAGCATAGGTAGACACTCAAATGGATATTGATTGTCAAAAATATTGTAAGAGTGCACTAAAACTCCATTTTCAGGGGATTCCATTTTAATGGAAATGCCACTTTTATATAGAATGACCATGACTCTAGCAAGCCAAAGTTTCCCATCTGCCTGCAGCAGTATTCAGCATATCAACCACTTTGTATGCCAATTAAATGTCCTCTAAAAGCAACCTCTCCAGTGAAATTAAATTCTTTTGTCCTCATACACTATAACTGTTGGCTAAGAGATATGGTCCAATATCCCTGACTGCTTGAGAGGGGTGCCTATCTCCTCAACAAATGTTACTTCGCTTCTCCCCCAAGCAGCTCAGAATGTGTCAGTTATCCCTTTACAACTATGGAATGTCTGATTTTATCTCCTTGAATCTCATGTCAAGCACTTCCTTGTCCTCTTCCATATGCACATACCCTACCACAGCTCTATTGCACAATAGATATCTAAGGATCCCTGAGTTTCTTTTCTGCTCTAATAACATGCTCTTAGATTACATGTCTGATTTCCATTTTTATAGAAAATCATTTTAAAATAACTTTAGTTCTGACCTATTAATTAAAAACGAGGCTTCACTATCACTTCATATGGCTCATTGACCCGTTTGTAACAGAAACCAGTGCCTTACAAGTGCCCCACACTCAACATGGCCAAACCAAGAGAGCTGCAAACAACTGAATGACTTGGAAGCTTATAAAAATACTTCCTGAAGACTAGTAGGGGCCTTGAATGGATGTCAAAAACCAAGCAAATATGTAATCGGATAGTGAATATAGCAAATGTATTCATTTATATTTTATGACTTTAGAATATGATCAAAAATTTAAACTACTGTACATAAATATCAAATTGATATAAAACATTACCACTTCCACTCTTGTCAGCATCCACCCTGTTCCCCATTGCCAATCAGAGGTAACAATTTCTTATATATTTCCTGTTTCTTCATGTTTCTTCCAATATTTCTTCATTCACTCTTTACTGTCAACTTGAACCAATCTCATTTATAATTCCCTATCTAAATTAATCAAAGTTGATACTAATGCTGAGCTTTAAAGAGTTACTAGATCTAATTCTTGATTTACTTCAGGAGGATCCTTTCCACAACTAGAAATGGTCCCGTGGATTTACGAGAAAGGAAGCAGAGAGGCAGTGACAAGCTTAGAATACTTGTGATGGCTCTAAAGTACTTCATGGTTTATTTGAATTCTGGCTTGAGGCAAGGTTCAGTTTATGGAATCTGTGGTGCTGCTCAGGAGTACACAGTTGATGTCATCGATGAGGTCTTCCTTTTCCTCTTCCTTCACCTCCTCCTTTTCCTCTTTCCTCAGGCCTGCCTGCCCTAGTGAGGCAGGCATAGTACCCTGCTCAGTGGCCCAAGGCTTAGCTTGGCCCTCTGCTCTTGATGAGCCCTTGTCCTGTCCCAATGTGTCCTGGCTTCATCCCATGCGCCACGTCCCAAGTTCCATACCAGTTGCTTCTGCAGCCAACTTACACAGATCAGCTCTGTCTTTCAAATTAGGAAAAAGCTACCTGAAGTATTTCCTCTCTAGGCCCATTAAATATCAGGAATTCTTTTCCAAGTCAAAGTCTTAATATAACCTTCTGGCTTCTCATAAGTGACACTTTTAAAAGGTGTTTTATTTTCATTTAGCTATAAGCAAGGCAATTTCAATAACTACTTAATTTAAAACAATATTTTCTCAGAAATAGTATTCTTAATTACTTTTAAACTAAGGAAATTAATGCCCTTAAGGAGCAGTTTATAATTGACAATTTTAAGCTGACTCTGTTTTCACATCTCAACAAACCCTTTGATCCACTTGCACTCACTAATTTTTGCCCAGGCAAATTCTACCCCCTATAGGCTTAACCTTTTGGCCCTGCCTCCTTCTACCATGCACTCCTGCAGAGCCCCGGCCTGAGTATGAAAGTAGGGCAGCAGCAAACTGTTATGACCGTAGGCTTGCTTTCTCATGTGGACCTATAGGTGTGACTCTTCCCTAGGTTACACTTCTCCCTCTTGCCCTAACAAGGTGCCTGACTAGAATCAGGGTAACCCTGTTGTGAGTTAAATTGCATCAACCCACAATTCCTATGTTGAGATTCTCATGCACAGTACCTCAGAATATGACATTATTTGGAAACAGGGTCATTTCAGATGTAATTAGTTAAAATAAAATCATACTGGACTAGGGCGGGCCCCTAATCCTATAAGACTGGCATCCTTATAAGAGGAGAAGATGTGAAAACAGAAACCCAGAGAGAACTCTATGTGAAGGTAAAGGCAGAGATCACAGTGATACTTCTACAAGCCAAAGAATGCCAAATATTGTCAACAAACTACCAGAAACTTCATACTTCATTCAAACTTCAGGGGTATTAGGAAGAATTAGCAGATTCTTCCTAATACTCGTCACAAGGAACCAACCCTGCCAACACCTTTACTTCAAACTACCAAATGCATGCACCTACAGACTGCATTTCTGAGCCGGTTCACAATGAAATCTCCAGGCCTCCTCACAGTGTGTGCAGATCATCTAGACCTTGTCTTTTTTACTCTATATTGCACTCGATTCATTCTAATCCTGTCCCTTCTACTCTACCTAGCACAACTCTCCTTTGGCTTTCCAACTCATTCTTCTTTCTCCCCTTTCCTGCTATGTCTGAAAGAACTTGTGGGTGTTAAATGAAACTGTCACTAGAGAGGAATAATGCATTTCTGCTTCCCATGTATCTGGAAACATGCCAAGCTCAGTGTTCAGCTCAAAATAAATATTTCTCAACTGAATGAATGAACAAATGACAGGCTAACATATTTTTCTACCTAAGTTCACTGACAAATGTTGACAAAATATTAATTAATACATTAATTTGTCTATTTAATCAACAAACACTTACTGGATATCTATGTCATGCCAGGTACCATGTTTAGTGCTCAGAAAAAAAGAAAAAAAAAAGACATAATAAAAGCTTTTGGGAAATTCACAGCCCAGGAGAGGCAAATCCATTCCAAAACAATTGCAGTGCAGAGTAACACATGTTATAACTTTATGAGGAAAGTGCCATAGGAACACTCTCAGGTTGGCTTGGGGTAGGAAACAAAATCAGCCAGCTGTGTTCCAGCTGGGACTTGAACACTTCAGCTAATTCAAGTACACATGAATGAAGTGGTATTAAAGATGAACCCATGCGACAAACATGGAAGAGTGAACAAGAGATCTACAACACTGGAAGGAAAACAATAAGAATTTCTACGCCTTGGGGAAGCTGGAAACTGATAATTTGGCCTTTGCGAATGCTTGTATTCTAGGGTAAAACCCTAACTTCATTTGAGATACGCAGTGACAGGAAGATCCTTGAAGAAATGGACAACTGAGATAAGCATGTGAATGGTTAACTCATAAAGAATAGATGAGATTTTTAAAGGGAAATATTTATTGTTTTGTGTATTATAGCACGTTGTCTCTCGATATGATTAGTTATCAGTCTCAGTTATCCAAAACTGGTATGAAATAAAGCGTTTACGCAGTTATGTTTCATTGATGTCAGCTAGGGGAGCATGAAAATCTCCATGAAGGTGGGTAATTGATGTGTAAATCAGAGCTCAATCACTTGGTAATAGAAATGGTGCCACTGAAAATATGCTTGTTGAACACAATCACACAGAAGCCAGAGGGAGGGAGGGAGGGAGAAGGTAGAAGGCTTATTTATTAAAAATGATAATAACTGGCAATTTGTGCAATTTTCTCTTCAACAGAGGGCTGCTGTCAGAAATGCTTTAAGCAAGTTGTGACCAGTATATTCAGATAGTTTTCTTCTGTTCTAATGAACTGTTTCTGTTTTATTTAAATGTTTGGAGACCTTGTTGTGGTGTTAAAAAAGCAAATTAAAACAACACAGTCTTCTTTTGAAACATGACACATGTAAATGATATCAGTGATAGTAATTTGGTTAACAATGCTTCTTCTAGGCAAGCTATTTTTAATAAAATTCTTCTGTAACTTTGCATTTGCTCTCTGAAGAACAGTGAATAAAAATGGACAATGCCTTGCAGTTTAATATTTTAATATTTCATAAACAAAACTTACTATCATTGATGACATAGCAGCTCCTTTCTCTATCTGCATTAGAATCATTATCTTTAGTACTACTTAAGGTGGTATGATAGTGTTTAGTGGCAGATTTTTCTTCTCCTCTACTATCCTCATTGAATAAAGAAAACATTCTCGGCACACCAAATACTGCCACAGAGGATTTTACAGCCCACATCCTACCAATTAATATGAAACAGAAAATGCTTGCTTTTCTTCTTTCTTTTGGACTCAATTTGAGCCATGTTTATCCTTTGCATCTTGTGTGGATCCACTGGATTTACCCACCAGTGCATAATTCATTCTTGAGCCTCGGCACTGCACACACACATGCATACACCCTTACACACACAATAAACACGTTATATGTGGCAGCACAGGAGCAATTCCATTGGCACAAATGTTTTCTGTTGTGGAGGTGAGAGGCCTCTGCTTACCTGGGGTCACCAGCTCAGCCTTCCATTCAAAACTATGTGTGCACCAATTGCTTGTCTCCTATCTAGCACTGGGCCTTAATACAAATGTTCTTTCTTTGACTAAATGCTTGTATCAAGCAAACTAGCAGTAGGTAGTTAAGCAAGTGACAGGCGGAGCTGGGGGTATATTGAGATGATATTAGCCTTATCTGTCATGGCTGAATTTTTTTTGAAGGTGAGTAAATTCACAGATTATTGATGTCATTACCAAATAAACAAATGAATAAATATGGGGCATACCGGGATTTTTAAATGTTTCTCTTTTGAAAAGCAACAGACTCTTCCATTTGCCTGGTACTTTTCACTGAGCAATTCCTTACACAAATATGATCTTACACAAAACTTGCAGCAATCTTCAGAAATAGGCCAGACAGGCACTCTGACTTCCCATTTCACAGATGAAGGCACTGAGACCCAGAAGGGCTGACTGCTTAGCATTCACTGTCACTCAGGTAATGCAGGGCAAAACCAGAATATGAATGCAGATTGTCTGAGTCCAGGTGCAGTTAATTTTTCTTCTATACCACCCCCTGCTCTCATTGTAAAATGCTTTCAAATTCTGTTCATCTAGAATGTAGAAAGAGGTCCTAAGTGTTAGAGCAAAGGGACATTATTTTAAGGTTTTTAGAGAGTAGCTTTCTTTGGGTGATATAGTTTGGATATTTGACAAAAAGCACCAAATCTCACGAGGTACTTAGGTCACGGGGGCAGATCCCTCATGGCTTGGTGCTGTACTTGCCATAGTGAATGAGTTCTCATGAGATCTGGTTGTTTAAGTGTGTGGCACCTCCCCTCTCTCCCTTGCTCCTTCTTTTGCCACGTGAGGTGCCTGCTCTTGCTTTGCCTTCTGCCATGAGTAAAAGCTCCCTGAGGCCTCCCCCAGAAGCCAAGCCATGTGTGAACCGCCTGCAGAACAGTGAGCCAATTAAACCTCTTTTCTTTATAAATCGCCAAGTGATATGCTTTGGCTCTGTGTCCCCACTCAAATCTCATCTTGAATTGTAATCCCCAAGTGTCAAGGGAAGGACCTGGTTGGGGGGTGATTGGATCATGCGGGTGGCTTCCCCCATGCTGCTCTCATGATTGTGAGGGAGTTCTCACAAGATCTGATGGTTTTCAAGTGTGGCAGTTCCCCTGCTCTCTCCCCTCCGGGCCACCATGTAAGACATGCCTTGCTTCCCCTTCTCCTTCCACCATGATTGTAACTTTCAGGGGCCTCCCCTGTCATGCGAAACTGTGAGTCAATTAAACCTCTTTCCTTTATAAATTACCCAGTCTCAGGTAATGTCTTTATAGCAGTGTGAAAATGGACTGAAATACCCAGTCTCAGCTATTTCTTTACAGCAATACAATAATAGACTAATACAATGGGTTATCATTATTAATTGACTAGCTAATAGATCATAATTGTGCTTTTATGGAAAACAAGGATATGGCAGGACATACAAAGAATGGACTTTTAGAAGGAGGAGGTCATGTGGTGGAAAGACCTCCGAGAGTGATTCTGCCATTTAGAGATTGTGTGACCTGGGGCAAGTTCCTGGACTATTCTGTGGCTCTGTCTCTGCAGTTTACACATTCAACCCCACCCTCCCAGCCTTCTAAGAAAAAAAACCCCAGTTATCCAAAGGAGCATAAAATAAACTGCAGGATAAGATACAATTGTAATGAAATAATCCAAAACTCCACTGATCAATCTGAGCCACTAGCCAATCTGAGCACTGGAAATGTGGTTAGTCTGTATTAAGATGTACTGTAAGTGTAAAATATATAACAGATTTCAAAGGCTTAGTATGTAAAAAATATTAAATATAGCATTAATAATTTTATACAGACACCATTATGAAATATTTTGCATACATTGAGTAAAAATAAAATGTATTAATTTCATCTGTTTCTTTATACTCCTTTTTAATATGGCTGCAATTCAAACTCACATATGTGGCTTGTATCTGTGGCCCACATTATATTTCTATTGGTCAGCACTAGCCTAAAAGTAGAAATTTTCTAGGTCTACTTAATAAGTCACTTAGAGCTTAAACAATATTGGTTTCAGTGCTGTGCCTCAGGACAATAAAAAACTGTGCCTTTGGGTTTGTTGTAACAGTCTAACCTATGCGGCCTTATGCCATCCTGTTTAATTATCTCCCCTTTTCTATTTTCATTTCTCCCCATCCATCTACTTTAATCTGGACCTGGGGCACATATGCCAATGTTGATTTTCATGACCATTGTATTGTCTAATTGGTGCATTGTTGATGAATAATATGTGAGGTGTTGAGCTCTGTTTGTGTAATATGTTTAATATGCTTCTACCCAATGCACCATATGGAAGCAGTGCACTGTATATTATGAGTGTATTAATGCTAAGACCCAATTGAGCATCACTGGTGCATAGTTAACTAGTACAACAAAACTATGCTAAGTAGTTTCTGAACATTGTGGTCCCTAATATTTTTAATGAACATCACAAACAGTGTGCTGGTATGTGGGAACCAGTGCGTGCCCTTCTCTGAAATATTTAAAGATCCTAAGCACTATTCCGGGATTAATGTAAATTGCCTTTTACAAGATGAAGTCATTTTTCAGGCACAAAAGCTAAAAAGACTAAATAATTGAGTGGGACAATCTACCAATAACTGTGTCTTTAAATCTAAACTGTGCAGTTTTGAAGTCTTTTATGTCTGGTTTTTTTTTTCCCAAGGTACTTACAATAGGTGGAAAAAATTTTGATTCACATAAGCCACCAGGAGTTTTTTCTACCTGTTTCACACACATTTCACACACAACTTTTAGAACTCCCTCAGTTTACTGATATTTTCTTGGAAAATTGCTAGCCAATCTATCAAAATTAAACTCTGCCTTTTAATATAAAACAATCTCTTATTAACACATACTGTTCAAGCCAGATAAATCAGCATCCTGCAAGGATGAATCATTCTATCACAGCAACTCACCATTCGTATGCTTTGATAGATGCATTCATTTGCTGTTGGGCACCTTGAAATAGAAGGGTGCAGGCCCATGCTCTGCAACACTTCACAGTCTTGTTCCTCAGCACTCAGTGTGCTCAACAACAAAAATGTAGCCAAATGAACAATTTACTATGATTAGTTTAGTTTCATTTGTTAATTACAGATTCAACAAGAACTGAATGCTGAAGCTTTTCAAGTATCAGACACTCATTGATCCATAGCCCTCGACACGCTCAAGTAATATTGGAAGTTTAACATAATTTATTGTTACTTAGAGCACTGATTGGCTAGAGGAATTATACTCCAATAAATGGCAGCACTGTCATTGAATCTGCCTATAATTGCCTCTATTCATCGTAATGTATGATCCAACACAGACTGGAAAGAAAGGATATGATCTACTTCAAGCTTCAGCTGTTTCAAATTCCACAGTGTGTCCCTAAGTTAATGGATATCGAATATTATGCTGATATATATGCTGGGAGTACTAAATGAAAAAAATATATATATATATATCCACACACTCATACATATATTGCATATATGTAGCTTTTACACAGATCTATAATTGATGCCCAGGCTGTGGGCTTGCTTATTCCATGGAATCAGATAGGATAACTCTACTAATGCTGGGCCAGGATACAGAATCCTATGAGTGGTGGGCCCCCCTACTTCTCTGCCCCCCGCTCCTCAATGTAAATAGAATCCTCAGGCTATTATTCATTTCCCTCTGGAGTGGCCCTACCCTGGGCACAGTGACACATAAAAAACTGTGCCCCAGTCACTAATTTCTGAAATGCCCAAACATCTGTGATTCATCTTCCTTGTTGCCTCCTTGAGGAAGCCTTGCACCTTTCATCCAGGCTGCATTCAGAGTTTCCAGTCCCCAACACTGTGCAGCTTCTCTTCAACGTCACTTATTCCTCTCTGATGGGGCTGTTTATTTGCCATTCTCCCAAATACATAATGAGTTACTAGGGACAGGTATTACATCAGTTTCATAGTAACAAATTACTACAAACGCAATGGCTTCAAACAACAAAAAAATTATTCTCTTTCAGTTCTGGAAGTAGGAAGTCTGAAATAGGTCTCACTGAGCTAAAATCAAGGTATTGGCAGAGCTGCGTTCCTTCTGAAGGCTCCAGGGGAGAATCCATATCCTTGCCTCTTCCAGCTTGTAGAGACCACCTTCACTGCCTGGCTGGCGACCGTTCCTCTATCTTCAAGGCCAGCAGCACAGCATCTTCAGATCTCTCTTTCTCTCACCCCTACTTGTTTCATCACATCTCCTTCTCTCACTCTGACCCTTCTGCCTTCCTTTTATTAGAGCCCTTATGATTACTTTAGGCCCACCACGATAATCCAGGATAATCTCCCCAGCCAGAGATTCTTAACTTAATCACATCTGCAAAGTCCCTTTTGTGTTGTAGTGTATTCACATTATATATATATGGACATGGACATTTTGGGGGAGGCGGGGCATTATTTTGCCTAACACAGGTATAATGGTTTGTTCACTGTGGTCATCCTAGTGCCTCAAACCATTACATGACATACAGTAGGGCTTCAAAATTCTTCCTGAGGCAAATTAATGCATGAGAATGGTTTATGAAAACTTTCAAATGTCTCTTCTCAGAACCACCTCACACATGAAGAGTGTCCACTGGGTGAGGAAGGGAAGAGCCTGAAGGCCTGTGTCATCCACACCTGCTCTGCCATTTAATGCCCATGAGAGCTGAGTTGAGCCACTTCAGCTCTGCAAGGCTGACTCTTCTCAACAGTTAAGTATCTCCGGGGATTGCTGTGACCCTCAAATAAGATAAGGTATGTGAAAATGCCTGTTGAAGACAAATTGCTTTATACACATCATTTATCTCTATGCTTGTTATTTCTATGAGAAGAGACACTAGATGTTTGAGAGAGGGAGAGAAGAGGGAACAGGTCCCACTTACATAGAGATGTAAGGTATTATTATTCTGTAAAACTCAGCAAAAGTAACCATCCAAAAGTGACCATGGAAATGTTTTCTATTCATATGCAAGTAGCTTAAGAGTCTGACACAAGACGCTTTAATTACCTCAAATAACTAGATGCTCGATTTCCCTAGATAAGTGGGGCCCCAGTTGCCCTCTTACGTTTTACTTGGGCACAACAATCAAAGACAGATTTGTCATGTTTACATATTACAGTCATATGAAATCTGTGGTTACTCATTTATAAAATCTAACATATTAACCCATCCATTTTATTGATAATAAGGAGTTTCAGTGATATTGCAACCATAGAGATGATGATACATCTTCCAATAGAAGGAAAATTACCCTAAAAGACACCACACACCTGCGAAACACTTTATTGTAGTTCAAATCGGGAACATGAAAACAGGAGAAAATTGAGCGTGAAAACAACCTTCAATCAAAGGGTTATTAGAGGGTATTGAGATCAAAGGCATCATTTTCCATTTTAGGGAAGATCAGGTACACGAAAAGGAAGTTGACTGTCCAATGTCATCCACCCGGTCAGTGGCATGACTTGGACCAGAGCCCAAGTCTCCTGACTCTTCATTTAGTGCTCTTTTCTCTCTACCACCCTTTGGGTTATTCTGACCCTTGATCTTAGTTCACTTTTTCATGGGAGAAAGGAAAGGTGAAAGAGGAAGGGAAAAGAGCATTCTTATATCATGTGGTTTGTAAACAGGAGGCTGAACAGATAAAATGAGTTTTGGAAGTTTCACTTAAAATGCTCATGAATCAGTACAAACTTAACAGGACATAGTGTCTGCAAGCAATCCAGTCTATGTGAAAAGGCTGTCATATTCCAGACTGTGTGGGATTAGTTTAGGAAAAAGGTAACTTGGAAGCCCTCCAAAGAAAGCCCAAGGTTTGGCACAAGGTAGAAAGAGTTATTAAATAAAGAAGGATGTGGAGACTAAATGGCCAAGTGACTGACAGAATGCTTTCTTTGTAAGTGGTTGTCTCAATTTTATCTTCTAGGGACAACAAGACGCTATTAAGCCAATTATATGACTGAATATAAGGGTACGGTGAATGCTGATGAGGCTTGTGTATGCGTGTGTGTGTGTGCACATGCATATGCACATCCACAATTGAGGGATGAGGCAGGCAGATTTACATTACAGTACCACAGAGTAGAAGAGGCTGCATGTAGTCATGCAGTTAAACTGTCCCACGTTTCATCCAATGTGTCGAATCCTCTTTCAGACAAGCAGTAAGATTAGTTTCAGGGTGCCCATGACCTAACAAGTTGGCCCGGTAATCTCTTTGTGTATGATCGTGACTGGGTGAGAAAGGGCACTGTGTTGAGTCCCTTGCCCTCTAGGCACTAGACCTCAGAGTTTAATACTACACCATCTTGTATTTGCTGCTATTTTTTCACATTACTCCTGGAACTCTGACTTTTGAAAGGAACTGCAGTATCATCCAGTTGCATTCTATACTATAAATGACTCTTGAATGCCCTTTACAACATCATTGCCAAAAAATCTAGGGATGTTTGATCCAGGAGTTTCTCCATTATTTATTTCTATATCTTCGAATAGATCAATCTCAGGTAACCACATGTGAGTTTCTATTCAGGGGTAGTTAATCTATCTGGATTAGAAGTGGAGACCTGGGTTTCCATCTTTCTGTCACTAACTAGCTCAGTGACCTTGAGCAGATCATTTAACCCTATTGGGCCTCAGCTTCCTCACATGTAAAACAGGGAGTTTGTACTGGAAAGTTTCCAGTGTGCTAAGCAATTCTTACATTCTGGGATTCTATGATTACATTCATCTTTACATAACTTCTCCTACTTTCCAGTAGTGAGCCAGCCTGGCTCCTGGCAGGCTGAGAGGAGGTCACTGGCAGTCTCACTGACTACATTATCATCCAACCTAGTAGAAGGTGTCATGTACAAGCCAGCTTTCCCCTAAGTATCTCAACAACAGTAAAATCAATGATCGGCGAGAGTACAAAGCACACATTGTCATGAAAACCAACACATAAGTACAAGCTGGAACTGCACACTTAGCAGTGTTTATATTTCAAACTCCTTTGCTTGGGCTGCCTCAGTCTCAGTATTTGATAACCCCCAATTCTCCGGGTGTAATGACTACCACACTGCAATTCCAAGTCAAAGTGTATCCTATTTTGAATTCTACACACCCAATCTGTTGCCTAGTATAAATATTATACTATGTAATGTGTAAATATTAAAATTTAACTTTAACAAGTTGAGTCACAGTCACTGGAATTCGGCCAAGACTCTAACACTTTTTCATTATTTCCAAAGAAAGACCAATTTAAGAAATGCAAACCAGTTCCAATTCACTTCAAAATTTGGCTTAACGTCAAAGAAATTTTAATGAAATTCTGTTTAAGCATTAAACATGAAGGTATTTATTTGATTATTAAGTTAACATTCAAGTTCAATACAAATTTGTTTTTAGTCTCTCACTACCAGGTTCATAGACCAGTGAAATCCAAAATGATGGCTGCATTTCAATAGAATCCCTCTTCTCACAAAGGTAGGCTTTTAAATAGACACTAAGACACATGTTATTCATCTGTGCCTTACATGGTCTCTTACTGTTCTTGGGGCATGGCTCTGGCATGGTACCCTGGCAACCTTGCACATATCCACACAAACAGAAGTTTGAACCATAGCTGATCTGAGCCTTTGTGGAATGCCTTGTGATCTCCCAAAACACAAGAGTATGTTAGGCCGTTATTAAAAGAGCTGTTCTGAGGCTATCTCCCACTTACCTCCCTAACTCCTCTGGAAGGCTGTTATGAGCCAGTTTCTCAACAACTCCCGGGTTCTGGCCCATGCCCTCCTCCCCCTGCCTTTCAATGGAGCTCTGAGTAAAAATGTCACTTAGCTGCAGACTAGAATGAAGTCTTCAGCAATGAGGTATCCTACAACTCACTTTACAGCCATCTGGCCCCTTTTATTTCTCTGTTGTCCTTCTTGTTGTGTGGGGAAAGAATAATAGGGAGCTGGCCTCTTTGGCTTATTCTTCTCTTCACAGTCTGTGTAGGTACCAAACTGTCTGAATTTGAAAATTTCTTGCTATATCTTTCCCAGTTCAATCAGTCAGGTTGCGCATTGCCCTTGTACTTCTACGTATGTGCTTGACAGTCGTATATATTTATATATATATGACAGTCATATATATTTCCTCTCTCTAAAAACTTTCTTAAAGCAATCGTATGCAAAATTGAGAGCTTTTTTCCTTTTCTATAGATGTAATTGTAAATCGTTTATCAATATAATTTCACTACTTTCTTAGACTGATAAAGGGTACATTACATTTGGGCTATATCTTCTCTGGTATTGAGTCTTTAGACAAGTATAATCTTCTGGAACCCTGCAACTAACCTAAAGAGGAAAATATCATCCCATTGTTCATGGGTGCTCAAATGCACTGGCAGAATGAAGAATGAGAGACCAATTTGGGATGGCATCAGGTTATTTCTTACTCTGTGGGGGAAAGTAAGAAGGGGCTGAAGATTGACAAATACTTGGAAGCAGTGAGAATCACTATGACAGGTGGAGAGGAAGAAAGATTATGAAACTCATGCCAAATGGCCAAATGACCTTGATTTCCTTAGAGAAACAGAAGATGAATTCATCTGCCCAGGTTGGGGTAAGTAAGAACCTCAGCTCACAGAAAGAGGAAAACCGTGGAATGGCAGCTATGAAGAACAGGTCAGGCTGAACCAGAGATTTGATGAACAGTCATGAGAGGGGAACCTGTAAAGGTTAGCAGGGATGAATGTATTCTCTGGACTCCACCAGCAGGTTTCCTTGTCTTTCTGCCCAGAAAAGTTATAAAACATAGAAAGGAGGGCAGGCTGGCTGGGGACAGGAATGGACACAGGAGCGGCAAGAGAGGACATTCGTCTGCAAGATCCGTTCCTCCAATGGAGGGAAGTGCCCAAAAGAAACGTCCTAAACGTTCTACTGTTAGGCGGGAGTGAGGGCAATGGGCGGAGGCAAGCTGTCTCCCACCTTGGAAACATCATTGGAACCTGCACCCAGGTGACCTTCAGTGTTTCCCACCTGCAACTATCAGGGAAGTCTTTGAGGAAAACAAGGAATAAAAATATTACCCCAAATGGTCAATAATTACACTACAAAGGCAAAGGCAAATGTTTATCTGTGGTATCTCACTCAAAACTGCTCCCCAAATTTATCCAGAAAATCAAAACCAAATCACCAAGATGTGGGCCCCTGCACATTTTTAAGCCCAGTGAGGGACTTTAATGCCCCCTGGGAAATGGCTACCTTCAGGCCCTTTGTGTGAGAAACCTCCTCCCTCATCAAGATGCTTCACTAACGTGCACACAGGTCTCTACGGAAAATACATTTAATTGGTAACCCTGACCAGAGAAGCTCTGGTAAGACCCCACACAGGGGGCATTTCTGTGGGGTCTGGTACTCTCTAGGGAACTAGGTAAAATGGAATGTATCAGCTTCAAGGAAAGCAGAGTGGGCTCACAACGCTGTTCTGTGGACAGTTGTTAAAAAAACCTGGGTATATTTTGCCTTTAAAAAGACAAGACTCGGCACATAGGGGCTCTGTCTTTCAATCTCTGAAGCACAGCTTGGGGAAGATAAAGCAGACTTCCTGGGGGTTCACAGAGAAGAAGGTGTATGATGGTGAGTTTGGTTCCATCCACAGGGAAGCAAGCTTTACTTGGCCCACTGAACAGGCTCAAGAGTTGTGGGTTCAAATACCTGACAGGGAGCCGGACTAGAGCCTGATAATCCTGAGAAGCCTTCTCACTTCTAAAGTTCTAATTTTCAGACTCACCGAGGAAGCATGTCAGTGTTCAAGGGAACTCACATTCTATAAAAAGCTTCCTTGTGATTCTAAGTGGGCCCAGTAGCTTGGCCCCAGGCCCAGCTCTCCCTCTGCACAGAGCCTGGTAACAAATTGTCTTTCTTGCAGCTGAACTGATTCTATAGCATTGTCTGTGTCTCACTCATCAAACTCTGTACCAATGTGCCTTTTGTCTTAAAAAATACATAATGAGATTTTAATTAAATTATAAATTTACATATTACCAACTGGAAATTAATAAACAATTTGTTTCAATCAGCTAATAGAAACAGATTAATGATGCAATTAATCAAATATTTGACTTCATAAAGTTTGGATTCATTAAAGTAAACTAACAATTTGCCACTTGAAAGCATATAAAGCTTTATCTCAAAGTTTTAGGCATGTCTGTTGCTGTTCCATTCTCAATATTAGAAGCACATAATATTTACAGTTGAAAGTACGCTTTCAGAGGCTAATCAGTCCTGTCCCCTCATTTTACAGATAAGAAAACTGAGACATAGAGAGATTATCATCTTCTCCCTATTCCTTCAACCTCGCTGATCATTCAGAACACACACACACACACACACACACACACAAACTCTTGTCATATAGTTGTAATTCACCTGAGGCCAATTAATATTCTTTATGAGGTTTCTATTTTCCTTGGATAATTACTTTAAAATGAGATACACTTTGGGAAATACATATTTTATTTCAGTATATCTAATAGTACTATGATAAAAGTCACATTTACTTATAGAGCAAATGCTCACTCCTATGGGCAATGCCAACCAACACATAAAAAAAATGTTAGAGTCAAACTGATATCTTAGCAAACCATGAGAGATGCCTGCTAGAGACTGCCACCATTCATCTGCCAAAGCAGAATGTAGCTTTCCAATACAGTGCAGCTGTTATATCAATCTGGAGAAGGTGTCAAAGTCTTGAAGAAACTGCCACTATGTCTTTACAGCAATTAGCATATCATTAACTATCAGAATTGGGATTTTACTTCTAGAAACAAATATCATAGCTAGCTTTCTCTGCTTCAATGTGTATGACCACTTTGGCTCTAAGGAGGCCATGCATTCATAGCCCAATAAATCTCTCTTTTTTTTTTTTTTTGGTTACCTACCTGTCCCAGACCAATAATTTTTTATAATGCCAAGTGTTCAACACAAGAAGTAACCCAATATGCTAACATGTTTTTCAAAGTGCCAACTAAATCAGGATGATTGGGGATAACTAAATAACCTTTCTAATCATGGTTGGTTCTCTCTGGCAAATATTTTAAAAGTAGTTTGCTTTCTCTTCCCAGTTATCTCCATAGACTCATCCACAGTATTTGACATTGTTGATCATTTCCACTTTTTTGGTATATTACATTAATATTTTATTCAAATTAAAGTATATTAATATATAATAGAAAATATATAGTAGAAAATTTGCCATTTTAACCATTTTTAAGTGTCCAATTCAGTGGCATTAGGTACATTCACAGTGTTGTCCCCCCATCACCAGTCTCTCACTTCAAAGCAGTTCCACTTTCCTGACACCTTCCTGCCTGGCTTCAGGAAAATGGGCCTCACCAGCTCTGAATTCTGCTGCCCTGGCTTCTTCTTTACAATCTCCTTTCCCACCTTTGGCTTCTCCTCCTTCCATTGAGGAAGTCCCCAAGGCTCTCCTTGTGCTTGCTCTTTCTCGAACACCATAAGCTTTCCCTTGGCCAGCTTGGCCAATCTCAGAGCTTTGAAGGGTGCTCTACACAAAAGACACCCAAATCTACATAAAAGACACCTGTGATACCCCCTTGAACTCAAGCCCTGAAATCTCACCTAGTAGAGGATCATTTCTGCCTGGCCCTCCAATGTCTCAAAGTTCATATGATACAATTTTTTTCTCAAACTTGCTCCTTGTCCTGTGTTGCTCATTTCTTTAATCAATTTCACCAAACCCCCAGTCACACAGACATGACATATGGGCATCATCTTTGCCTCCTTCCCTTTACTGCTCTTTGTTCACACTAATTCATCCATCTATGAAATCTACAAGCTTCCAGACCATTCATTTTACCTTCAGAATCCAGTCCTTCCTATCAATTGATATTGCTACTGCCCTGTTTTCATTACCTTTCTCTTATAAGCATTTCTAAAGTCTCCTGTCTTATTTTACAGTGTTCAGTCTTTCCCAGGCCAATGGTTACAATATGGCCCATGCCCATCTCCTAAATTTGCCCCTCACTCCTCTGTCCTCTACATTCTGTGCCTGGGCAAGCTGACCCCCATTCAATCCTTCTGCAACTCCATCCTTGCCACAATCCCTCCTTTGTCTTGTGTCTCTGACCTCATGATATTCTCTCCACCTCGAAAAACGTTTCTTCTACATGTCTACATGTAAAGGTTACTTCTTCTATTAAGTCTTCTCTAATGATCCTGCCTGGAATTTGCTTCCTGTAGCATTTGGCTTTTTGTTTTTGTTTTCAGAAATGGAATCTTGCTCTGTCACCCAGGTTGGAGTGCAATGGCGGGATCATGGTATAGCTCACTGGAGCCTCAAATTCCTGGGCTCAAGTAATTCCCCAACATCAGTCTCTGGAGTAGCTAGGACTACAGGTGCATGACACCATGTCTAGCTATTTTTTTATTTTTTATTTTTGTGGAGATGGAGTGCTAGATTGCTCAGGCTGGTCTCAAACTCCTGGCCTCAAGCAATCTCCTGCCTTAGTCTCCCAAAGCACTGAGATTACAGGCATGAACCACTATGCCCAGTCTTATAGTATTTTGAATAGTGATCTCCAAAATATATGTTCACCCAGAACCCGTGAATGTGAACTTATTTGAAAATGGGGTATTTAGCACCGCATTAAATTAAGAATCTCAAGATGAAATCATTCTGAATTTAGGGTGGGTCCTAAATCCATTGACTTGTGCCCTTACGAGAGAAAGGAGAGGGAGATTGGAGACACAGAGAAGGCCATGTGAAGATGGAGACAAAGATTGGAGTAATGCAGCCAAAAGCCAAGGAATGCCTGGGACCATGAGAAGCTGGAAGAAGCAAGGAAGAATTCTTTCCTAAAACTTTCAGAGCTAGTGTGGCCCTGGACACCTTGATTTTAGACTTTTGGCCTCCAGAACTGTAAGAAAAAAATATAACCATTGTTAAAGACACCAAGTTTGTGGCAGTTTGTTACAGCCATCCTAGGAAACTAATGCACCCCCTTTCATCTCAGAAATCCTATCATCTAACCTCTTTGTCTTTAATATCAAATATGCATCCATGTCACCTACACCCAATAGAACACAGCACCTTGGACATAGTACATTCTTGCCAAATATGGTTGACAAAGGTGGGAGTAGAGGAGGGAGTGAAGAAGAGACCTGAACTCGCACCAGGAGAGTAAAATGACTTGGGTGCAAGCTGGCAAGCAGAAGGCCTGTCTGGCTAAATATTAACACAAATAACCACAAAGAGTAAATGGTAGAGAGATGCTGCTCTAAGACAATACCACCCGACATCCATGTCTCTTTAGTTCAGCATGTCTGAGATTAAGAATTGAAGACAGAATAGGGGGAGAGTCCACCAAACTGCTGGGCCTCTCTTGGCACCACCAATTTTTCCAAAGGAGCATTTCCTTAGAAATTAAAAAGTGAAACTCAAATTTTTAAAACCATTTACTTTTTTATTGGATTAACATTATAAAATAAAATGATCAGGGTTCATTAATATAACTCGTGCACCTCTGTTTTTTGTCCAGTTTATAACAGCAATAATTACCTCCAAACGGGTTTTCCCCAGGAATTAAATAACTGATGGGAGTTAATGGCCTTTTGGTTTGGCTGTGGGTCATCAGCTCCCTTGAGTCTGTCATTAATCCCCATGATACACCCTGCTTAAACAGGTCATTGGTGATAACAGTCTTTGGTGCTTAAATTGAACTAATGCATTTTACCTTTCCCTTCTAAGTTAGAATGGCTGAAGGATCCTCTATCTTTAGGAACAAAGACATTTTTCTGATGGAGGAAAGAAAGTGTGACTTTTTTAAAGTAACACATTAATAAGACTAGAGAAATGAAAGAAAGGTAACTGGCATCTGAAGTTTCTGATGTCCATCCAGTCCAGAGGAGGAAGGGACAGGCAGCACTAGATCACTAAATGAAGTGTCCTCTAATTGGTGGGAGGCCAGATGCGACTGATAATGAGGCTGACTGAGCTACATGCTCTTTCTGACTGGAAAGAGTGACCACTCTCCTGTCCTTTGAAGATGTCTTTTGCTGCACTGACCTTTGCTTTGGCGGGAGGAGTAAGGGGCCAAAAGTCAGCACCACTAAGCAAATCTGTCAGTGACAAGGTAACAGTTCTACAAGTCACGTTAGTCTCAGGACAGGCCAGCATGCTAAGCCAGCAGGGGACACATCAATCTTGCACCTCTGGAAGCTCATGTGCAGCTGAATGCCCAGAAGTCAGTTATTCACAGCTATTGACAGGGCCTGGCTGCTGAGCTTAGAGCCTCAAGTTAGGTATCCCTTCTTTGGAGTAGCTAATCCCTGTGGACAAGCAAGGCCCCCAGGGAAAGCAAATTATTAAGATGAAGTCAGTGAAGAGTGACAGGTCCCTCATAGACACAAGGAAATGGTACAGAAGCCTGCAGAGATAGATTCACAAGAGACAAACTCATCTAATTAGCATGCAAAAAAAAAGAACAATGGAGAAAATGGAGCTCATAACTAGAGACTCAAAATGTTGGAAGTGGTTTTCTTATGTTCACTTGCATTTTGCTATGGGCTAAGTACAAACTAAATTCCAGACATCCTCGGACAATTGTTATAACTCCATTCTTAGACGCATCAATGTTTCTGAATACATGTTTAGGATGCAGATGATGTGCAAGTATAAAAAGGACTGTTACCATTTGGGGGAAAATTGGACATGTGACAGAAATTTTACTTCCCATCTGGATTTTGGGTGCCCTATAGTCTAGTTTTGGGCAGTAGTGATTTCTCTTATATTGAAAGTAACTGTGAATATTATTTTAGCTTTATAAATACTAATGATATGTAAACAAAAAGAAATGTAAAGAGAAATCAACACTAATTACATTGATTTTCAACAATCTAGTCTTATTTTCCTTCTGATTATCATTGTTCAATAAGAAGTATATCTATACATAAAGAAAAAATATACATAAATCAATTGAAACTCATTTTGCTATGATCAGCAAGTTAAATATCTGCACAGGCAATATAAGATATATATTGAAGCAGGTATACAAAGTAAAATAATGCCGGTAATATGGCTGCATTGCTTTAAAAGATGGGAGCAACTTCAATGCTGATACATCCTGAGAAAGCTTTTTTTAAGTTATGTTGGAATCAAACACATTTTAACCCAGATCATTATAGTTTTGTGTATACAGAATGACAAAATTAGGTGCTAAAGGAGAGGAGTTCAGAATAAAAAGTGGCTGGTGACGAGGTTAGACGTGGTGATGGGGAAGGGACTGCGGACTGCAAAACCTCTGCTGATTCAAAGCAGCTTAACTGTGAGAAGATGCATTATTCGACACTTCAAAATTGCCCACTAAGTCAGAAATTTAAAGACTTGGCCCTTACAAAATAAGCCTATGTTATTTGACATTAGCTTGCTATGTCTAGAGCTACTGGTTTAGAAACATCTTAAAAATTAAATTAGATGTGTAGTTTTTGTCAAATTGCAGTGACAAAATCACTATCTGAATAACAAAACTGCCAGCTTATCACAGACCTTCTACCAACCCTGTAGGCTTTAAAGGCACATGTGTTGGCCAAATTATGAAACCTCACGTTGAAAGAGGCAGAAATTTTCAAAAGAACTGGGATAGGAGAGGCTCACACTTGGGACTATGAATCTGGAGTTGCTTTTCTAGCTTGATGCAGTTTGAAACTCTGTGGTTATTTTATGTTAATACATAATACCTACACGAGTCTTCCATGCAAACAGATTATCTGTTTATTTTTATTTTTATTACCTATATATTTATTAACATAACTCTTCTTGTTCCTCATATGATTTGAAGTGGTTTAAATTCTAGACCAAGTTAAATATATATATATATATATATTCAAATGTTTGAGTGGGACATATATATGAACTATATAATGGAAGTGATAATACATTCACATAAAATATTAGGACTAAAATAAACCCTCCAATATTTAAGTTCTTCTCTCAGTCAGTTTCTGCAAACATTAATATGCACCTCCTTGGTGCCAGGCACTAAGCTAGGCACAGTGGAATGGGAGATACAAACACATCATTTCACTTTTTTAAGGCACACCAATTCACACAGATCTTAAAAAGAACAATTTCTTTCCAGCTCTAAGCCTTTCAAAGGTTTAGAAAAAACAAATGTTTGCCATTCTTTCAATACTAAATAACACTCATGGTCTTCTGCATGGAAGTCAATTAAAATCACTGGCTTTTAGAGCAAAGAGAACACTTCATCTGTCCCTTTCATTTACATATGAGAAAACTAAGGGTCAGCAAAGAGCAATGGTTTGCCCAGAAAAATACAGCATGTGGATTTCTTTATATTATATGATACCATCTTTATAACCTTTAGAACTAATCTGATGACTTTTTATTTTTATTTCTTAATCTCTGGGCAATTCCTACTAGAATCAATGGCAACACACTGCACCTGAATTGTTTCTACCAAGCCCCTGCTTCATCTTCATCAGCCTCCTTGCCAGGATGCAAACACATAATGTCCCTGAAGAGCTTACAGTGTAGTTGGAGTAAAAGGTTAGTGACAACTCAGTTAAAATACTATACAACCATGGCTACCAAATAATATGCTGAGTTCAAGGAGTAAGTGAATGAGAACGTGGCATGGGAAGGAGAGTGGCAGGAATAGGCAAACAGCCTATGCCAGAAATCTGGCACAGGTTGGCCTGGGACTACATCGCAAGAGACAATAGCAATTGACTCCCTACTACATTGTAGGGTTCTGATACTCAAGGCAGACAGTCTTGACTTAGAGCTCTTGAGCATAGAAACTGAGCCTGTCAGCTCCCAGCACTGAGCGCTGCACCTATAGAGTAGGTGCTTGTGATGGTAAACTGCAGATATCAAGTTGGCCAGGCTATGGTCCCCAGTCAGCTGGTCAAAACCAGTTTAGGTGTTGCTGGGAAGGGATTTTGTAGATGTGATTAATGTTCACAACAAGTTGACTTTAAGTCAAGTCAACCTTCCATAATGTGGGTGGATCTCATCCAATCAGTTGAAGGTGTCACAAGCAAGGGCTAAGGTTTCCCAGGAAAGAAGTTCTGCCTCCGGACTGCAACATCAACTCTTACCTGAATTTCCAGCCTCTTGGCTTCCCTACAGACTTCAGATGTGCCAACTCCCACAATTTTGTGTGTCAATCCCTTAAAGTAAAATTCTCTCTCCCTCTATTTACCTACACTACACTGTCTCCTACTGGTTCTCTTTTTCTGAAGGACCCTGACTACTACAGCTCAACCCATGTGCACTGAATAATAGAAATCATTGTCAGAGCTTTCGCAAAGGGCTGCCTCAACTGCTGTTTGCATCTACTTTATAAGCATCAGGAGGTATCACATGACAAAAATGCCCCACTTCACTTTGACTCTTTCAGGCTTGAGAATATGAAACTTTTCAATCACTCAGGTGCTGGATTTCAAGTAAACAATTGACAATGTTAAAGTAACAAGGTTAAATTAGCAGTATAGTCCTAATGCTCTTGACATGTTAACATCATAATTTAGTAATTGCAAATCATGCATAATAGACTAAAGTAAATAGGACAAACCTCTATAGCTATATTTACTTGTTTACTTTCTGACTCACCCACTAGAATGTAAGCTCCTGGTCAGTGGCATTTTATTGCATCACCAATATGTTCCCAGCACCTAGCAGAGTACCTGGCACATAGTAGGTAGCTCACTAAATATAATAAATAAATGAATGGATGATCCTAACACATTTTACTCAAAAAAAGCTAAATATCCACAGCTAATGGGCTCTTCAATAGAGTGCCTGAAACACAATGTTCTTGTTAGTTGAGTTGCGTTCTCACCACAGGAGAGTTTATGCCAATTGTAGTTGTTATTATGATTACATAATTGAAACAAATATAAGATAAACTGACTAAATATGAGTGAAAAACAGACTTACTGTTTCTATAAAAACTCAGCTGAATATCTAGAGAAACTTGATTAAAATGTATCACTAAAAAACTGCTGAGATCATTTCCCAAGTGCCTGTAAGCCCTGTTCCACTTCAAAGAAACTTAAACTGGAAATGGATAAAGGGTGTGGTTTATACAAAAAAAAGTCAACATGGAACTTCAATAAGTCATCCAATACTCCAAAAAAGACCACCAAAAATTAGAAAATGAATATATATATTATACACATTAAAACAAAATGCTTTATATGTTAAAATTTCTAAATAATTCCTTGCTTGAAATGACTTTTTGATTAGCCAACCAATAACTTGTCCCAAGCTCGTCCAATAAAAGGGCTCTTGCTCTAATCACAGATCCCATGATTCAGGAAAGCATAAAAATTGGTATGTCCTTAGCTCCTGCCATCACTTCTGCTATGGCAGCTAGACCAGGACAGCTCCCTGGAATCGTCTCTTCCAAACTCAGGTGCTTGTTTGGCTCATAAAGCATTCACTGCCTTGCACAGCTCTCCTTTGAGAGTGCTTTCTATCATCATTTTGCTATCTGAGAGTTATGTTACTTGTGCAAGGATTCTATTTTGATACTCATTGAAATCACCAACAAAGGGCAGACCAGAAAATAGAAGAGTTGAAAAATGTGAATCCATCCTTTATGGTATGAGTTGGCAGCTCTGATAAAAGGTTTTCATGAAATGGGTGGTTACTACAATTGCTAAAAATCAGAGTTAAAGAGGCACTGCTTTTCCTTTGGAGGCAACAAGTTCCAGAAATCTCCTAGAGGAAAAATAAAAGTCCCAGTAGGGAGGAGTAGCTAAGATAAGGTAGGGATACGTAAAAAGACTTGCTCAAAATCACAAAGCATGCTCAAAATTAGTATTAGAGAGCCTGGAATCCAGGTCTTCTGATGAGAATGTCTTTTCCAGAGTAAGATCAGTCTATATTACAACCCAAAAATCACTAGAAGAACAATATATATATATATATTTTTTAATTGAACCCAGGGCATAATGAAGGATTCAGAAATTAACCAGCAGAGATAAAATGCACTAATTTGTACATTTCAGTTTCTCTAAAATGAATGAATTAAGATATATTTTTAAAGGTCCTTACCTTACATTTTGGGAGTTCTAAGGCACATAGTATGAATAACAATGGTACGAAGGTGAAGAGTTATTGGAAAAATGAAAACAATCTTTATTACAAACACAGCTCCCCTGCCACCTAACTCATTCCCTTCACATTTGCTAGCCACAAACCACAAAGTATGGACTTCCTAAGAACATCACTTACTAGACTACTGAGTAACAATGAGAGACAAGCCTTACTTTATGCAACCAATGGCCCAAGACACTCTTCCCTAAGAAAAACTGACACCTGTGACTCTAGTCCTGGTGACAGTTCTGTTGAGACTGAACTCCGGAGTTTGACAATGCTGACTACATCTGCACGCTCATGTTATCGACATTCTAAGGACTTAGTCCCTCTGAGCTAACCTCAAAAGTGCATACACATTGGGGTGGCAATTACTGTCACTCTTCAAAATTATGTATTTCTAATCACACTGATGAAAATGCTTTGTCAGGACAATAATCTCAATTATGTATTTCTTGGTAAAATTGCTAAAGCAAACAAAAATATGCTGGTAGATCACACAGAACTCATAAAATCACATAGCCAAAGTGTGAAATAGCAGTCATCAAGACTGTGGTTTGGGAAAGTCCTCTAGGGAGGCAAGATGGAGAAAAACTGTTGTTATATATTTGGGTACATATCATCCGTTTGACTTCTGTATGTAGCTTATGCAACTGGGAGTTCAGATACATGGACTATGATAAATCTTTCCCATACAGTTGTTTACAGAAGGCATATCTGGAATATTCTATCAACACAGAGGTCTTAAATTAATGCAGCATTCCATCTTCCAACTATCTCTCATCTTCTGGACATCTTACCAACTTTTGGAAGATTAATAACAGGAATAAAAGATGAAACCCACTTTTTCTCAATCTATTTGTTAACAGCTCTGGTAAAGAATATGTTCATCAATTACATTGGAGCCATCCAGCAAAATGAGGTGAAGTGTGTGCAGGAAGGAAGTTGAGGGATTTCATTTTTATAATGCAACCTCTGGGCTCAGCTATGTATTTGGTCCAAAGTCCTTGTTCTAGTGCTGTTTCAATAGTCAGACTGCACTCCCACACACAGTACCGATCATTATCAGCTTTGTTTTGCTGACATTAGCACCTGAGCTATCTTGGAGAAAGTCTGTAGCCCCAGGATAAGAGAGGTCAGGAGGGACTCATGCAGGACAAATGACACGGTCTTTATGAAAGCCATGAGGGATTGTATGCAAGGCTACATGTGGAATCCTTCAAAACTGCCAGTTTGAGGGATTTTGAAGATGAATAATAGGTCATAGTGAAGGAAAATAGAATATAAGAAGCTGAGGAAGAAACAGGAAGAAAAGAATGTTTATCTCATTTTTTCTGGTGTCCTTGGGTGTTCTCATTTAATATTCTTTGGCCTCTGGACAGGTTGCATCATAACTTCACTCAGTGGCATAGGGAGTTCTTTCCTTCTGGTGGTTATCAGGCAGTGGGGTCTAGGGTCATGAGCAAGACAAAAGGTGCAACATAATACTCTTTCAGTACCAAAAGTCTTGTTCAGTAGGCATCCATTTTGACTAGAAATTTATCCCTGTTCAGTACTTGCTCACTTCTACGAATAGCAGAATCCCTTTGGTCAATCTGTTTCCTTCATAAGAAAATGATAACCATGCCTAAATAAACTGTCCCAGCTAACATGAAGCCCTCTTATAAAAATCCACCTTGTATCAATTTCTGCTGATGTCATCATAAAGCAAAATATTTGTAAAGGAATGAAATGGTATTTTTTTTAAATTAGATCCATTCAATCTCAAGGCTATGATATGGCTTGGCTCTGTGTCCCACCCAAATCTCACCTTCAATTATAATAATCCCCATGTGTCAAGGTCAGGACCAGGTGGAGATAATTGAATCATGGGGGCAGTTACTCCCATGCTGTTCTTGTGATAGTGAGTGAGTTCTCACAAAATCTGATGGTTTTATAAGAAGCTTTTCCCCCTTTGGTCGGCACTTCTCCTTCCTGCCACCATGTGAAGAAGGATGTGTTTGTTTCCCTTTCCACCATGACTGTATGTTTCCTGAGGCCTCCTCAGCCCTGTGAACTGTGAGACAATTAAACCTCTTTCCTTTATGAATTACCCAATCTTGGGCAGTTCTTTATAGCAACATGATAACAGACTAACACAGGCTATAAACCTCAACTGTCCCTTAGGTAAGAAAATAAGATTTTTTTTAATGACTCAAACAGATATTTAGAACTTTTAAAGAGTTAGTCACAGAAATAACATAATTCAGGTTATAAATAACTTTCATCTTCTAATAATATAAACTATAGATATTCATACATAAATATATACACACATAAATATAAATGTACAGATACACTCAGAGAGAGAGAAAGAGAAAATAAGTAAGGTTCATTGTATATATACCCTAAATGCTCTCCCTGGATGTCACTCCTGTGTAAAGATCTATCATCATGTTCTCCCTTGTGGAAAGATACCTTTCAATGGAAAGCAACATTTTTTAAATCAAAGTTTTACTTCATAATTCAGAGGAACTTTGTTGTATCTCTTCTGGCAGTGAATCTTTTTAGTAACCAAATATTACACGATCTTGAGGATACATATTTTGTATGAGCTTCTTACACGCTGATTCTATCGAACAGGTATACACAAGAAAGATTTTACAAGGAGTAAACATAAGGCGAGTGTGAATTGCATCAACACGCAACACTCAACATTCAAGGGGTCTTTGCATGGGCAAGGACTTCATGTCTAAAACACCAAAAGCAATGGCAACAAAAGCCAAAATTGACAAATGGGATCTAATTCAACTAAATTCTGCACAGCAAAAGAAACTACCATCAGAGTGAACAGGCAACCTACAGAATGGGAGAAAATTTTTGCAACCTACTCATCTGACAAAGGGCTAATATCCAGAATCTACAATGAACTCAAACAAATTTACAAGAAAAAAACAAACAACCCCATCAAAAAGTGGGCGAAGGATATGAACAGACACTTTCAAAACAAGACATTTATGCAGCCAAAAAACACATGAAAAAATGCTCATCATCACTGGCCATCAGAGAAATGCAAATCAAAACCACAATGAGATACCATCTCACACCGGTTAGAATGGCGATCATTAAAAAGTCAGGAAACAACAGGTGCTGGAGAGGATGTGGAGAAATAGGAACACTTTTACACTGTTGGTGGGACTGTCAACTAGTTCAACCATTGTGGAGGTCAGTGTGGCGATTCCTCAAGGATCTAGAACTAGAAATACCATTTGACCCAGCCATCCCATTACTGGGTATATACCCAAAGGACTATAAATCATGCTGCTATAAAGACACATGCACACGTATGTTTATTGTGGCATTATTCACAATAGCAAAGACTTGGAACTAACCTAAATGTCCAACAACGATAGACTGGATTAAGAAAATGTGGCACATATACACCATGGAATACTATGCAGCCATAAAAAATGATGAGTTCATGTCCTTTGTAGGGACATGGATGAAGCTGGAAACCATCATTCTCAGCAAACTGTCGCAAGGACAAAAAACCAAACACCGCATGTTCTCACTCATAGGTGGGAATTGAACAATGAGAACACATGGGCACAGGAAGGGGAACATCACACACCGGGGACTGTTGTGGGGTGGGGGAAGGGGGGAGGGATAGCATTAGGAGATATATGTAATGTAAATGACGAGTTAATGGGTGCAGCACACCAACATGGCACATGTACACATATGTAACAAACCTTCACGTTGTGCACATGTACCCTAAAACTTAAAGTATAATAATAATAAAATTTAAAAAAAAAAGAAAATGTTGTCCTTTTATTTTAAATTTTGAAAACAATGTTTTTGGTTATTGTATACCAACTTACACACAAGATGTCAACATCACCTCAAAGTACGCTAAATTATAACACAAGGGACACTGGCACAATAATATTCATCAACTGTTAATTTTCATACAAGGTAGAAGTAAAGAAATTCACAGAACTTTGGGTTGCAATGGTGCCTTGGCAATTATAAGATCCCAACTCTTCCCTGGGTTCTTTTCATTTTTATGAGTTAAAGAAGCCAGCTGCAAAGAGAAGTTCAATGACTTTCCCAAGATCATACGGCTAGTAAATGGAAGATTAAAGCCCAGAGTGGCTTGTCTAATGAATTTCCATGACCAGTGGAAGACACATAATGAAATTTCAGTTAGACACTTCAGAACATGATGATCCCACCCCCTCGCTCATTGAGGAGGGGCAGGGGATGCAGACAAGAACAAGGTAAGCATGTCTCTTTCTGTTTGTATGCTTGAATAACCATGAATGAGTTAACATATAAAGAGTAGATTCTTAGACTGATTTTCTATGATGTCAGACATCTGGATAAAAATGAAAACTTTTAGTAAAAACACCAGATATTTACAAATATATGGCTTCATCTAAATATTGAATTGTGCATACACAGAGCCTTAATGTAGGTAAGTGGAAAACACAAAATCACAAATCTCCATGATTGGGTGAATTATTGCCTTTGGGTTGGGGAGGGGGGCAAGAGTGGTATGCTCAGTATGCATGAAACATTTTGAGACATTTGCTGTGATGGATATTTTTAAATTCTTTCTACCCATACATAGAATGCAGAAATTAACACAAGAATGTCTTAATTGGACCTATTTTATATACAAAAGAATAATGGGCTAAATGGGTTGGAATGAATGCCATATTTATCCTTCAAGGGAGGAAAGACATGATGATTCACAGGCGGCAAAGCCAAGAGCATTGGGCCTTCTCATGAGTAGAATAAATATATCTATCTCCTTTCATAATATTCTGCCTTCTAGTCCTTAAAGGCCCCCTAAAGGCACGAATAGAAAAGAGATGGGAAAATCAGAAACTATTCATTTTAATTTCACATACAGTAATTTTCTTTTAGAGATTATGATGCAGAGCCACGATAATGGTTTGACAACTCCATCTAAACTTTAAACCACCAAAACGACACTGTCAATGTAAAATTCCATTCGATCTCTTTCAAAGTTATCACATACCTTCTATGTGCAAGAAGGCCAGTGACAGAGACTTGAAATGGTGCATTAGCTGAGGAGAGTAAGCCCTTGGCTTCTCAGTGCATTGTTGCATTTCTTGATTCTGCATGCTGCATATTTTACCCTCTTCACTTTGTTTTGCTTAGGCTAAAATGGGCTTTAATCCTCCCTAGTATGGAAGTCACAGGAGGAAAAAGCAGGCATGAATTGTGCTGGATGACAAAAGACATATAAACTTGCTGCAAACCTTCAAGAATTGATGACAACATTTTGGAGCCAGGCAAAAAATTATACCAGCCAACAGAAATTTACGTTCACTTTGGGACTAAAGAAATAAGGGAGGTGTGGGGAAATAATGTAAAGTTATTAAATGATCATTCCCCCTTTCTCTTGCATAGAGTCATTTATTCATTAAGGAAAACTGATTTGTCCTTTATCTTTGCCTGTAAAGAAACATAAGGGTGAAAAAGAAAGAAGGAAAGGGAGGAAGAAAGGCAGAAAAGAAAGATGAGGAAGAGAGCGAGAGAGAGAGAGAGAGAAAGGAAGAAAGAAAGAAAGAAAGAAAGAAAGAAAGAAAGAAAGAAAGAAAGAAAGAAAAGAAGGAAAGAAAGAAAGAAAGAAAGAAAGAAAGAAAGAAAGAAAAGAAAGAAGGAAAGAAGGAAGAAAAGGAAAGGAAGGAAGGAAGAAAGAAAGAGAGAGAGAGAAAGAAAGAAAGGAAGGAAGGAAAAGAAAGAGAAGGGAGGGAGGGAAAGAGGGAGGGAAGGAGGGAGGAAAAGACATGGAGGAGGCGGCCTGCTATAGTAGTTTTGAATCTGCTGACTCTGATGGTTGGTCTTTCCAAATCCTGCTGGCTAGGATGAGGTAAAAGTGCATCTCATCTATGTTCACCTTGCCAAGCAGGGATCACACCTCCAGGTGGTTGAAAATAGAATACTGTGTCTCATTTCTTCAATCTGGCCTCTAGCATTAGATTCATAAATGGCATTAGCAGACATTGCTCTCATTCAAAGGGCCAATTCAGCTTTCCACCTACAACAATGCAAGAAATTTCAGAAAGGTGTAGCTAAAAAATAAAAATAAAGCAAAGCTTGTAGATACACAAAATTGTGTGTAAATTAAGCTATCATCAGTCACTTCCCACTTTCTCTTTGATTATAGTTTTAAAAATGGTTTGTCTCCATTTCTAATTGCATCAACTGATAGTTTATCCTAACAATTGAGCTCTCCATCTCTGATGGTCCCCCTAGCCTCTCCATTAAGTTGTTAATGAGTTGCCAATTCTTACATATCTTATTTAGAAGAATGTGCTCGGATTTTCTTATGTCAAGTTTTTCCTAAACTGGATATACAGTTGTTATTAATTTAATGAACCGGTGCCAAAGCACCAAGCTAGGTTTTACAGGAGTACACACATCAATGAGACATAAATCACTCTAATTCACGGCTAAGTACAAAAACAGAGATACAGAGTGCAGCAGGAATGTGGTGGATAAAGATTTTATCTTCGGCTAGAATGACCTGGAAATGTTTCTCAGAAGTGATGAGGACCTGATGTGCATCTTTACAGATCAGTTAGAGTATATAAAGCAGGGAAAGGAATTTCAAAGAGAGAGAGAGAGATATGGCTCAGATGACAACAGGAGACTATAGCACAGGGCTCATGAGGGCATGTGATGGGAGATAAAGCTGGGGGTTAAATTGTGCTGGGGCTCACATTCCAAGCCCGAACATTTTGCCTTGGTATTGAATGGAGACAGAAAGGCATTGAAGGCCACCCCATTATTGAACTCTTTAGGCAGATGGCAATGGAGTATACATCTAAATGTCTCCATTCCCACTGTATCCTGGGTATTTCTATTGTAAAGGGCTTAGAGTGAAGGGTCTTTTTTTTGCCTAATCAAAGAAGATCAATCCGTAGACAAGCAATTTCACATTCATTTTCACTTGCAATTCTTTCCTGGGATGTCATCTGTTATGCATTTAATATTCTTTACACTCATCCCCTCACAAATTCTGCATCCAAGTGCATAAAGACGGATCCATTTCTTCAGACAATTCCCACCAAGGCCTCCCTGTGGATGCCATCAAGATTTTGCACCTGCAATTGGCTAATTGCCAGCACAATAGGCCACTTGAGCCTTCAAAATTAAGGATTTAACGATAAGTGGGGAGGTACAATGATAAATGAAAGGCTGAATTCACACTTCTGATTTCTATGGCCTAATATATTAGGGGATGTAAAATGGAAGCAGGCCATAATGAAGCCTAACAACAATCCTTATGGTCACTATTGAGTCTCCTGGAAAAAGCCTCTCCAATTTAGAAACTGTGAGTGAAAGACTGCCTTAAAATCTATGATGTGATCATTATTATAGTCTCAAAGGGCAGCTTTGACACAACTACAGTGATTATTTTCTAACTTCTCTAAAAGATTGACCACCTCCTTTTTCCCTCCCCCTCCTTTTCAAGAGCCAAGTTTCAAAAAGGGGGAAAGAGAGAACCAAAGAATGACTTCATGAAGGCCACATTCTCCAAGGTCTCAAAAGCACTTGGGAAATTTCACCAATTGGATCACAAATATTTGCACATTGGTTATCTTTTCGTACTAATCAGAAAATTCTCTTGTACAAAATGTCTGGCCTTAGCTAGCATGTTGTTTCTTCCAGTTACTGGGCTGCCACAAGGACAATAACCAGCTTACCAACCAGGTCTTACATAAGCCACAAACCTAGGATTGGTCTGGTGATCATGTCTCCTTTTAACCTTGTAAGTCTCTAGAAATGTTTTTCCCACATATGCAGTGTCTGTTTTTAGAAGCATGTTCATTTGCTAACGTGGTTGCATATATTTCTTAGTTTGGCAGCAGCAACAGCAGTATCAGGTGGAAAATACCCTATTAGAAAAGCAATGTATATTCAATAGCTTTGGTAAAACAGTTTACTCTTTCATATTGAGGAAATCCTTGGAGGAAATTACAAAGATTATGCCTTACAAGTATAATGCACAAGAAGAGAGGGCTTTGTTAATAGAGGTTTCAGACATCTTAAGCAGGGAGGAAAAATCTCCATAGATAAGAACTCTCTTTAAATAGGCCTAGTCTGATACATGGACGGAGGCTTAGGAAAAGTCGCTATTGTCAGAACTATAAATGGTGTATAGCTTACCACAAAACTTACATGAACTTTCATATAGTTTCACAGTCATGAAAATGAGTCAGTACATAATTCTCTATGGTAGACTGAGGGGGTTTCCTAAGAAATTAAAGGTCAATAAATTTAAATGGCATGAAGTGCCTGATTAATAGCACAGGAAAATAAATCCCAGAACAAAAGCCCTGCAAAGTTAATCCCTATTCACACATGCTGTTATCAAGAAATATGTATTTAAGGCTTACTAGGTACTAAATGCTGAGTGGAAAGCATGCAAATGTGCAAGGAATGGCCCCAGATCTCAAGATTATAATTATTTGGAAAAATAAGACCCATTGACATATAAAGACAATTAACTGATTTAGACACTCCCTAACAACTGCCAAATGAGTGGCTGGGCCCACTACGGGTGGGTTCAGGGAAAGGAGAAATTCTTGAAGGCTGGAGTGGGCAAGCAAGGCTTCATGGAGGAGTTGAAACTGGAGCCTCCCAAGATGGAGAATGGAGACTATGTAAGGCTCAGAGATAGGAGTCCAACCAGCCCACTCAGGGCACAGTGATTGTCCCAGTCTGTCTGAAGAAAGAGCAATTTTAAGGAAGCAAAGGAAGATGAGTTTGGGAACGTACTGGGTAGGGGTTGCTGTCATGGATTTTCCCCTAGAGCCTCCAGAAGGAATGTAACCCTGCTAACCCATTTTAGATTTCTGAACTCCAGGACTGTGGGAAAATAAATTTGTGTTGTGTTAAGCCACTAAGTGTGTGATGATTTGTTACAGCAGCCATGGGAAACTAATATATCTTATGTGTATACAAATACATTTCTCATCTTCACAAACATTACTGTAACCATTAGACCATACTATCTGAATGTAGTGTTTAATTTCAACAAATTGGAGACAAGACAGCAAAGCCAGCTTCTCCAAAGAAAGCTTACCTTCCAAATATCTCACTGCCTAAATCAACAACCATTCACCCAGGGCTTCCCCTACCTGCCAGACCACTTGATCATGAATGTCCAACTTCCAGGGTGCAAATTCACACAAGTGAAAATCTAGCCCAACTTTCCATTTAACCGTCACATCATATAGTTGATAAATGGGCCTGTTTTTCATGTCTCTGCTAGGAATACTGGGAAGACAGAGCAATATTTGAAAAACATTGGGCTAAGTAAAATAATTATAAAGCATTATTTTAATAAGTTACTGCTTTCAATGTCAACTAATATAATTCATTCAGTGTTGTTTCCTCCTTAGCTTTATTTCCCATTTAACAAGCTCCCTGAATACCTTTTAAAGGGATTGTGATGCCTATATAGAGAAATAAAATATATTTTAAAACATATTTTATTCTCACCCTCAACTATTACACAGCAGTCTTTGGAAAGGCTGATAAGATCAGTTGAGCCCAATGTCACTAAGTGGAGATAACCTGATGCCATTTCCCAAATGCCAGATTGTAGCAGCGGCCTGATCACCAACCCCCACAACTCTCCAGGCACATTACCCACTGGAAATGCAGTTGGAATGGCAGAAGTTCACTTGCATAAATAAATCCCAAGCCAATTCCATAAATAATAAATCACTCATCTTGTAGAAGAAAAAAGATGCAGCTACACAACTTTTACGTGTAATACTATGGCTCACTCAGAATGAAAGGGGGAGAAACAGAAAAGGGAAGTACAATTTCCTCTGCCCTCACTAAATGTTATTTGCAAGAATATTTGTTTTCTGTTTTGCTTCACTTTGGTTTTTATCGTTTTGAAAGGAAATGCACAAAAACATAGATATCATTAAATATGGAATACTAAGAGGGCAAAGAGCATCATGATCGGGTAGAATAAACCCCAAAGTAGGAGTCAGGAATCCCACATTCTGTTACTGGATTGGCCGTTAACTGCCAAGTGAGCAACAAACAGGTAGTTTCACCACCTGTGACTCAATACCAAGTCATTTACAGTTAGAATTATTAATAGTAGGGGAAAGAACTACAGCGATAATAACAATGCACCCATACTGTGTACCAAGTGTGCATGAGTGCTCTCACTCTTCCACCCCCCTCTCTCTCTTCACATGGGCAATTCCTAATTCTTAAAACGATCCTATGAGATAAGCACTATTATCACCCATCATTGACAGATAAGGGAAGTGAGGTTCATGAGGTTCAGATTACTCAGTAGTGGAGACCAGGAAGTGCTCAGGGAAAGCCAAAAGCTTTCACAGGCTCTGCTTTGCACTCACTCTTTCCCTTCCTAAGAACAAGATGGATGTGGGAGGGGCAAAGCTTAGGCCACTTTGCTCAGAGGCTGCCCCTTTCAACTGCCTTGCCAAGGAAGCAGGAAGGGATCAGATTTCAAGACAATCCTTGTAGTTCCCTGGGCAGGTTGGCTGAGCCATACCATGACAGGAAGAATGTCACCAGGACCATATCCAATGTGTGTGTCTCAGGGTACAGGCTTTAACAGGGATTGTGTTATTTATTTCCTGGTTATAACGCACATACTGAGTTGGGAAGGGTGTGTGGAGTAAGAAGGAGAGGAGTTAGCATGCAAAGTACTTTGGCATTTCTGCTTCTACAAGGAATTACAAAGTACAGAAAAGGAATGCTGCTATAAAACTCCCAAAATTAGACTTGGTTTCAGATCAAAAGCTAAGAAAATAGTGAGAACCCCTTTTAATTCAGCCAGTCACTACACACACAGACAGACCACAGCTCAAATAATATCCCAGAAACATACCCATGTACATTCAGAACTTAATATAACCCAACTAGAACAGAAGGCAGGTGTTAATACTATTCCTCAAACCACATTTCCATGGCATTTCAAATATTTATAGCTTGTTATAAATTACACCAAGGCCACATATCAA
Source organism: Homo sapiens (assembly GCF_000001405.40). Lineage (NCBI taxonomy): Eukaryota > Metazoa > Chordata > Mammalia > Primates > Hominidae > Homo > Homo sapiens. The sequence goes on along the minus strand of NC_000023.11, from coordinate 148,609,319 downwards.
AGAATGAAAATCACCCATATTAAATTAATCAGAGATTTTAGAAAATTATACATTGCACATGACTGAGTATAATACATTTAATGTTTCAATGTCATGGAACATTTGCTTTATAAATAAAATATGAAAGTGATTAAGCTCTCACAGACCCTCAGCAATATGGCAAATCTATATGCGAGCCCCCTAAGCCCTGGATTTGTATCTCTGGATTTTGGTCACTGAAGAAAAACAAAAAATCATGCAACTGAACTAGATCTCACTAGTTGGTGATGCTCCAGAGGAAAGTCAATGTCAGCATGGGTAAAAGTGAAATTCAATATCCTAGTTCCTAGTACTCTGATTTCTTATAAAAGAATTCAAATGTTACCCTCAGCTCTATAAGCTCAGTTGCCACTCTCCTTTAATGGAAACTTAAGTGCACATTGAAGGCAGGATTTGGCTCAAGGACTTTCTATGCCACACTAAACATTCGTGTTGTTAAAAGCATCTTTACACATATACGCCATTAGAAACTAAGATTGGATTTCAGGACAAGAATGTAAAATGTAGACTTTGGAGATGTCTGAGGAAGTGTTTAAAATATTTCACCTAGCCCAGGTAACATGGTGAGACCCCGTCTCTATCAATTTTTTTTTTTTTAACTAGCTGGCATGCGGGCATGAGTAGTGCATGCCTGTAGTTCTAACTACTTGGGAGGCTGGAGTGGGAGGATGGCTAAGTCTGAGGTTACAGTGACCTACAATCACGCCACTGCACTCCAGCTAGGGTGACAGAGTGAGACCCTGTCCCTAAAAATTAATTAATTAATTAAAATAAAGTATTCCACTGACTCCCCTACCAATAAAGAATACAAGCCTTAGCTTCCTCCAGAGCCAAGCAACTACACAAAAGTCACCAGGTAGCCAGAGTTTTCCATGGATTCTGAAGATGCAATTCCACATCTGTGCTTCTTAGATTTCATGACATCTTTCCCATTTCTTTATGGAAGTACTGTATAGTTACGTGACTGTGTGTATGCTAATTCAAATTAATTTTGCTTTGAGGACCTTATGATAGCTTCATAAAGCCATTTGGAAAAAAAATTGTTGACACAATGGGGTATGTCAAAACCAGTGCTGTAAGTCCTGGAATACATCTCCCAAAACTATATAATCCAATACCAGACCATGGCTTTTTTGTCCCTTTTTACAGAACACCCTACTCTCAAGGGTCATATTCTATCCTGGACCTCGGTAAGTGCAACAAAACTAGATTATAGCTCTACACTGACTTCTAGTTTCCAAAACACAATTGCCTCTTTGCATGGTATATTAAATATTCCCTTTTAGCAGCAGTTCTGAATATGGCAAGGTATCATCAACTTCTCAGAATACTCATTGTATTATTCTGTTGAAAAGCTGCACATGGCAAATAGGCAACATTGGGAGTCCAAACCCTCTTCTTGGTCTGATGAGATAGCAATGGCCTGCCAGGCACATTACCAGTATATAGCTTCTCTAAAAAAAAGAAACCAGATAGATTTGTAGAACCATTTTTAAAAGAGATTTTTTTCCTTATAATTAAATATAAAATCAAGTTTCCTTGTCATAAACTAATTGATACAAATCTTCAAATGATGAGAGAAATGGTATTCCTGCAGGATTTATATAGAGTGGTTGTGTGCCCCTTTGATGTTGCCCTCTAATGTAGATAGACTGTATTAGTCCATTTTCATACTGCTATGAAGAAATACTCGATACTGGGTAATTTCTAAAGAAAAAGAGGTTTAATGGACTCACAGTTCCACATGGCTGGGGAGGCCTCATAATCATGGTGAAAGGGGAAGGAGGAGCAAAGGCACATCTTACATGGTGGCAGGCAAGAGTGTGTGTGCAGGGGAACTGCCCTTTATAAAACCATGAGATCTTGTAAGACTTATTCACTATCACGAAAACAGCACTGGAAAACTCACCCCTATGATTAAATTACCTCCAACCGGGTCCCTCCCATGACACATGGGGATTATGGGATCTACTATTCAAGATGAGATTTGGGTGGGGACACAGCAAAACAACATCACAGGCCAAATTCTCAAATAATTTTATATCTCTATTCTAAAGACAGTCTTGGATAATTCAAGGAACCTGAGTTTCGGAATCTGGAAGATTTGGGCAAGAGCTTTTACTAGCTTAGTGAGCATGGGAGCCAGTTACTTTACCTTTATGAGATTCTGTTTCCTCATCTTGAAGTACTCAGCCTATAGTAAGGTCTCAATTTTCTTGCTTTACATCTTGTCGTCTATGACCCTAAACATGTTGCATGGCACACGAAGCCAATTTCTTATAATTGCCTTAGAGCAAGAGAGCTGTGTAATGCCCAGAAACAAGCTCAAGTGAGTTTAGAGTAAATGCTTTAAAAAAAGAGAGCAAGTTCCTTATTTCACTTTGACTAATTCAGGCCTGAATTAGGAAAACACTCATTTATGTGTCATTGTCTCAACCAGGAATCTCTGTTAATTGGCACTTCTGTGTGAGTCTCCTATGCTGTACAACCATAATTTGACGTTTATAATCATGATCCAGAGGTATTGCAAAGTCCTGAAGTGCCTACTGAATCGTCAAAGATTCAATTACATACAATCTAGTTTTAGTTCTAAGTGATCGTTTGAAAATTGGTAATTCCTGTATGGTATAGAAACTGAAAAATCTGGCATATAGCATTCACATGCTATAGCATCTACAAGGCTTGGAAACACCATAGAAAATATGCAGGCTACTAAAAAGCAGGTTGGGTTTAGAAAATTTTACAAATCTATCCACAAGGCTGACTTGACTTTTTTTTTTTAATTATTTTGAAAGAATTTTAGACTTTAATACAGAGAATTTAGGTGTCTTCTCTGACTACCTTTCCTTAGTGTTAGCAACTTATATTACCTTAATTGAATTATCAAAAAAAGGAAATCAACATTAATAAAACACAATGAACTAAACTACAATACTCTTTTCGATTTCAAAAGATTTTCCTCTAATGTCCTTCTTTCTGTACAGAATCCTATCTTGGATTCTACATTGCATTTAGTTGTGTCTCCTTGGTTTCCTACAATCTGTGACAATTAATTCCTCATCTTTCTTCATCTTTCATGATCATGAGACTTTTTATGAATCCTGGTAATTTATTTTGTAAAAGTTTCCTCAATTTGTGTGTATCCTAGGTTTTATCATGATTATATGTGGAGTTATGCCTTTGGGCAAATATCACAGAAGTAATATTGTAGTTATCATACTTTTCTCAGTGCATCACATCAGAGAGTTCAAGATGTCAATAATCTTAGTTGTTAAAGTTACTCTTTTTCCCTTTTTAACTGGTCTAAATTTGGGGGAGATATTTTCAGACTATGCTAACACCCTGTTTCTCCTCAAATATTCATCCATAGATTTTGATATTCATTGTTTGAACTTGCCTGCGATAATTACAGAGTGGTCTTTCACTAATGGTGACTTGGTATTTCATTCATTCACTCACTCATTAATTCATAGCAGTATGAACTCATGGATATTTATTTCATTCTATGGATCATAACCCGTTACTATCACTGCTTATTTAGTTATCTAAATTGTCCATGATTTGACCATTGGATGCTCTTTTGTGCTGGCTCCTGTGTTCTTTGTCCTTTTGACACCTTGATCGTTTGTCAACACTTCCTTATTTCTAGCATCACAAGATATTATAGGTTTAGTTTACAGTTTTCTGGCCCCAGTGCCGGACTCAATTACTTCACCAAGAGGCCCTGATTTCACTTATCAGAGTATGGTATTTAGAAATTAAGATCTGGGTGCAAGGTGTGCTTATTGCTATGAGGATGTCATTACTTCTAGGCTCTCTCAGCAAACCAAGCTAGGAAATAATGGGAATGTATACATGTTTATATCTATTTATCTACCACCTATCAAACATGAGTTCATACTGATACCTCCAATTACAATCCAACACAAGTTTCAATCTGGACTTCCCCCTTTGCTTATTTGTAACTCCTTTTTCCAACAGTGAGAAACCTAAGCTCATTATCGTATATTCACATATATTAATATGTTATTCAAATAACATATATTCACAGTTTGCTCAACCGTAATATTCACAGAGTAGTTTTGGAACTGTGAAATCATCAGGGCCTGGTGTTTTTTGTGAAGTAGTTCATTCATAACTTTCTCTATGCCTTTCATGGATATTGATCTGTTTAAGCTTTTAAAATCAAGTAAGCTCAGTCTTGGTAATGTGTATTTCTCTAGGAAATTATTGATTTTATCTAGGTTTTCAACTTCATGTGGATATCTGAAAAGTAAATACTTGTGATTTTTGAAAACTTATTTTTCTCTAAAGGATAGTTCCCTCTTGTCATATCTTATTTTGTATAGTTTTTCTTTCTACTTCTTTTTCTTCATTAAATTAGCTAATAGTTTATTTGCATAATTTAAAAATCACAGAACTTTGATTTATTGATTAGATTTGCTCTATTGTTCTGCTCTCTACCTCATTATTTTCTATTTTGTCTTTATAAATTCCTTCTTTTTGCTTTCTTTTGGTGTACTTTGTTATTCTTTTTCTAATATTTTGATCTGGGCATTTTCCCATTGATTTCCACTCTCATTTTTATTGGTAAAAGTGTTCAATGAAATGAATCTCTCTCTAATCTTTGCTTTAAATGCATCTCATAGATTTTTATATGTAGTGTTTTATTTTCCTTTTTTTTAAATCTGTAATTTCAATTTGCATGTCCTCTCTCATTCAGGAGTTTTTGCAGTGGCACATGCCTTTACTTCCAGCACTTTGAGAGGCCAAGGTAGGAGGACTGCTGAAGCCCAGGAATTCAAGGCTGCAGTGAGCTATGAGCGTGCCACTGCACTTTAGCCTGGGTGAGAGAGCAAGACCCTGTCTCTTAAAAAATAAAAATAAAAAATAAACTAAAATTTCTAGATGAAAGTGACCATCTAGTTTTTATTTTGTTAGCAGTTTCTCAATTTATTGCATTGCAATTGGAGAGTGTTATTTGTATTATACTATTTGTACTTTACAAAAATGATTCATGTTTTCAATGAAACCTAATATATAATCAATTTTTGTGAATGTGTCATGGCACAGGAAGTGAAATTTTATACATTTCAGTTGAGTAAACCCATCTTCCAAGAAACAATTGCAAAGTACAAGAAAACTATAATCCAACACATAAAAAGATTTAAAATACTCAAAAAGAATATTCTTAAAAAAGCATTTGAAGATATGAAAATCTGCCTTGACTCAGAAATCTAAACCTAAAATTAGAGATGTACCAAAAAACCCAGGAATAAATGAAAAGTAAGTAATGAAACTCAATAAATAAATGAAATAGACAAAGTTATCTAAAAAATAAAGAATAAATTACAAAGTGCACGAGGGAGAATAGATTCAAATGAAATTTAATAAGAGACATTGAAGAAATATAGAAAAATAACCAAGATAATTACATAAATAAGAAAATCAAAAAGAAGCAGAAATAATGTATTGTAAATGGAAGAAAGGCAAAAAACAATTATTTTACATTTATATTATTGGGGTCCCTGGAAAAAAAAAACAAAAATGCTGGAACTGAGCTAATAATTAAAATTATAATAAAAGAAAATGTTCCTGAAATAGAAAAAGATCTGAATCAACCCACTGAAACGGCTCACTGCATCTGGAGAAAGTATCCTGAATGATCAGCTCAATGCATTTGGTGGCAAAACTAGTAATTTCAAAGATGATGATAAACATCTCAAAGTCTCCCCCTAAAATAAAAATAAGCTACAGAACACAAAAGAATTAGACTGGCATCAGAGTTTTCAAAACCAAGGCAATGATGGGGGAAAAAAAAAAAACCACCTAATGAAAGAAAGTGGCTAGATTTTATATCTAGCCAGTCTGTTATTCAGATACCAATATAGGAGAAAATAAAAGTTTTCAACATAGAAGAACTTAGGGAATTCTGCACATACCAACCCTTTTTGAAGTTTTTCTCAGTCGCCCCTTACTGACTGCAAAGTCTTTTATCAGAGCAGAGTCAGGGAAGAATCATGAAATCACACACTGAGATTTGGTGACATTTTTTTTTCCTCTTTACACATAGTGATTTCACATTTGGCACTGTCTGTCTTCAAATTATCCTAAAAGAATTTGGTTTAGTGTAGAATTTACTTTTCCTATATTGTTATTTCTTATGGTTTGTGGAGGTAAATCTTTCAAGACAGCCAGCTGTGCTGCTGACATTACCCTTGACTCACTAGACACATTCTTGACTTTTTAATGTGTCAAATCAGAAACTTCAGATTGGAAGAGGGGAAAGTCCCATCAGTTATGTAATTAAAAAAAATAACTTACATGAATTTCCAAAGTTGTTTCTCTCCTAAGACTCCTTTGTAATTATCTACTAAGCATTTATTATTTATGATGCACTGTGCTAAGTATTTTACCTGCATTAGTCCTTACAGATTCCATTTAAAAAAAAAAAAAACTTTTGAAGTGGCTACTATTATTCACCTTTTACAGATTAGGAAAATGAAGCTTAGAGAATATGTCCAAGGATCAAAACCAAGGCTGCTCCATGGCAAAATTGGAGCTCTTAACTGTTACTCTACATTGCCTGTTCTTCAGCCTCTTCTCGTTATATGGCCCCAACAATCACTCTCAAGTCATTTCTTCGTTCGTTTTGTTCACTCAACCCCAAGAGCAAATTTCATCTACCTACCTCCAAAATGTATTCCCTTTCTCTCCATCTATATTTCTATGACCCTGGCCCAAGTCAGAATCAACTCTCACCTAGAAAACTGCCATAATAAACATCCAACTCTTCTCTCATCCTCCGCTATCACCCCCTCCAATCCCACACCCCCCAATCCATTCTCCATATGGAAGAGGACTACATTTTTATTAATAAAACATAAATCGAATCTTGCCACTGTCTGACTTAAATTCTCCAACAACTTCCCACTGCTCTCAGAATGAAATCTAACTCTTTCCCATGGCCTGCCAGGCTGTACAATATCTGTCCCCGCCTTCTTCTTTTATTTCATTTCATGCCACTCTCCAACTTAATTACTCTTTTCTTGCCAATACTGGCCTCCTTTCTCTTTCTCCAACTTGCCAAGCTCATTCATACCTCAGAGCCTTTGCATTTGCTATACACTTAGCATGGGACAATTTTCTCCAAGCTCTCTTTTTAAATGGCACCTCCTCTGAAAAGCCTTCTTCTGAGCACCCTGTTAAAGGTAATGCCCTCACTCCATCACTTTACCCCATGCATCCTTACTCTAGTAGCCAAGGCTTTTTAATTCATAACAGTATCACTTGTTGTTTGGTCTGGTTATTTATTGTATCCTCAAGTATCCAGAATATGCAGCACACAGTAATGACTCAAAAGAAATTTATTTAATGAGGAATGAATAATCAATATATTGGCCATGTTTCCTGATGAGCACAATAAAACCATTATTGAATGGAGACATAGGATTTAACAAAACATTTTTATGCTGTTTGCAGAAAGAGGCATATAGAGTTTGTCGCTGGGATATTAAAATATTGAAATTTATAAGACATTTTAGTGATTTATGGAACTTAAAATCTTTTATAATAATTGTTCTCAAAAATTCACAATATATGGATTTCAGGTACTAAAGATATAACCTTAAGAAATTCCTACTTTCTCGTTGGAGGGAGAAAAAAAAGATATGCCTGTAATACATGCACACTTAATTTATACTGAATGCCAAGTGAGGGCCACTGAAGTTAAATGCCAAGAAAATTTAAAGAGCTGGAGAATACTAAAGGAAGATGAACTTAAAACTGATCTTAAAGGATGGGAAAGAGTTAGAAAGCTTTTTTACTGGACTTTTGTTTCTTAAAGGTGAATTTGGGATAAATTCATTGACGATTTACATAGATGCCAGGCTCTCCTAAAGTGTAAACTCACCTCCGACTGTGAGATATTTTAGAAAACTTCAGAAAATATTTGCCCTCGCTGGGGTACAATTTCTGTGAAGCAGATAACTTGCTAAACAGTACCTCTAGTGGTCTCAAAGAATTCTTTCAGCTTCTTAAGCTGCCTCATTCCCCAAGTAAGAAGTAGTTTCACAATTCTGAGAATATGACTCATTAGCAATATATGTGCTACATCTATAATTGAAATTAGTACTTAAGTAGCAAGATCTTCCCAAAGAGCAAAACAATGACAAGGAAAGAAAAAGAAATGTAAAAGAAACGCTCTCAGAATGAAATGTAACTCCTTTCCATGGCCTTCCAGGCCCTACAGTATCTGTCCTCCCTACTTCTTTTATATCATTTCATGCCACTCTCCAACTTAATTACTCTCTTCTTGCCAAGACTGGCCTCCTTTCTCTTTCTTCAACTTGCCAAGCTCATTCATACCTCAGAGCCTTTGCATTTGCTCTACACTTAGCTTGGGACACTTTTAAAATATTTCCAAATATGTTTTTTAAATGTTGCAGTCACTGCCTGCTTGGAGGAGGCTCAGCCTACTAACTGACTTGGGAGCAGGCACAGGGAGTTTGGGGGCGGCAGGCATCTGGAGATGGAAGGAGGTGAACTCCTAAGAACAGTAGTTGAACAAGTAAGAGTAGGTTCTGCCACATTGTGAGAAAATGTGAATTATCAACAAACACTTCCTACACCTGATATCTTTTGTATGGTGAGCTGCACATTTAATAAAGAAGCAGCTGCCACTACTGAACGATTAATCAATACTAGTAAGCTGACGTCCTAAGTACTGCTGAACTGAAGCTTTTCTTTCCTTCTTGCATTTACAAATAAAGTGCTCAGTATTTGAATAACGCCCGTCGACTTGACCAGAAAATATCAGAGTCCTATTTAAATGACATTTGTAGAGAATGAGATTTTCTTCTGGCTACTGCTCCTTATCGCTAATAATAACATCAGATTAGTGGATTTAGGCCGGCAGAGGAGCAATGCCTTTTCTGATCCCTTCTTAAAGCAGCCTTTTCCATCTGTCTCGCCAAGCTGTCCTCCTACTTGTTTGGGCCAATGAGCAATTCCTAAATGGCACTTCATTGAAACCATGTGGACTATCTATCTAAAGACCTATTGTGTTGCTAAATTCCACACAAGACTACCAAGTCTCCTTAGCTTGGAAAGATCAAAACACCTGCAATGTTCACAAGTGCAAAGATCTCTCTAGACGATATCCACCAAATGTGGAAGAGTCACACATACACAAAAACCAAAAATTGATCTCAATTGAAAGAGGTTTACAAATGTCCTTCACTTGTCAATTTTTTCACCTGTCATCATTTCAACTCACCAGACAGAAGAAAGTGTTATGTTTTATTGAAGGAGAAAGTTGTGATGGTTGATTGCTTTGGGGGATGGGGGAGCAGAAATCATGGCCAAATACACATACATGCACTTAGATGATTATAGGGGAAGATGTCTTTATTCTTATTTTTGCATGAATTGTTCAAGTTCGAGGACTGAACATGATTTAAAATCTAAATGCCAGGTCTTTCAAGAACAAATCTAAGTATTTCTAAAGCTCTATCATAAATAACTACATTTAATTTCCTTTTTCCAGCATTTGGCACTTTAAAAGCCCTTTTACAATTCGTACCTATGCTACTTAAGTTAATAACTGACATTTCCTCTTCGTAATACATAATGTAAGCTTGAGTGCTGCTGTGAACCCGAGATAAGCTGAGAGACCAGCAGACTCAATATGAAGCCAATGTTTCAAGATCATACTGATTGCCTATATCTTCTGCCTGTTTTGTTTTTCAGCAAAGTCTTGGTCATTCATAACGCTGACCACAAAAACTGCTTCTCTATGGTAGAGAACCCCATGCCAAGCAGAGCCACATCAAGTCAAATGTTTGGACTGATCAAGCCATATGGCTTGAATTGAATGTTTAGCAAGGTTAAAGTGAGACTCTTGTTTTCAAAGACAGCTCTTCACTTACCAACATGTTAAGGAAAATTCCTGAATCTGATGTCCAGTTGTTTTACATATATATTTTTCAATTCATCATATTGTTAACTGACTTACTTTAAAAACATAATATAAGAAATTGAAGGATGCTTTTATATATAGGACGTACTCAATTTTCAATGCATGCATGTCATAAAGTCAGTAATGCATCCTGCATATGACACAACTTATATTCATTTCACAGGGTCACAATAAGCACATGATTGCATTTCCTTCAGGAAGTCCACAGATGCTAAACCAGGCATTCTAATTTTGAGACAAACTTGGGCAAATTTGGATGAACCTCTTCAAGAGCCAACAACTATTTACCTACTCTGTTACCGTTCTAGAGTTAACATAGAGAAAGACAGTTTTAAAGAAACCACTTTTGAGAAAACCATAATTATTTAGCCCGACAGAAGGGAAACATGAAATGAAATAAATCTGATTGTTTTAGGCATAAATCAGATACATAGTTATTTTTCATGATAAATGGGAAGTTTAGTTGATTAATATCATTAAAGTTTACAAGGGATCTCTTTATAGTTAACAAGAACGAAATCGTTCAAGACATTAAACGCAAACACTACACAGCCAGGGTAGCCAAAGGTATGTTTGTCAACCATTAGATTCTATCTCTACTCTGTATTGTTTGGAAGTTGCTGGAAAGGGTAGTAGGTTTTTATCTGTTTATTTTGCTTTTCTTTTGTGTGACCCCTGCTCTAACACCGTTATTGTTCCTAGATGAAGAAGTAACTAAGTCTGGTGGTTGGAAGGAATTCTGGTTTCCCATGGCATGCAGTGTGCAGGCAAGGATAGGAGAACGCTAGTGCCTTGGGATGGTGGCACTCTAGGAAGCAGGGCCTTCTCACCCTGCCACCTGGCCATGGCACAGGAAGGATATTGGTCATTTTACTTCGTTTTTGTTTGTTTGGGTTTTATTTTTTTTATTCATTTATGGGGAGGGGGAAGGGGACGAACCATGTCTCAGAGCCAGAACTATCTCCTTCACCTAAATGGCCTCGTGTTCCCATTGGTCACATCTTGTTGCTGGCTGGAAGATGGCGTGAAAGTTTTAATGCTGGCAGTGATTTGAGGAATTATGGCCAAAATTTAGCAAATGTATTTGTTTCTCTTTTTTAGACTTTGGAAATGAGTTGCCTTACTATTATTTTATAATTTCATTCAAAAATGTCTAGTACCTTAAAAGCAAGACCTTTCCAATTAAATCAAACATTAATTATTAGATGTATGAGCATTTGTATACTTAATTTCATACACCCAAACTACCAGATGTACGTACTCTTCAAAGTATAAACATCAATTTAAAATCCCCCAACTCCTATTGATGATGTGAGAACAGCATAATTGATTATTTCACCTTCCAAAGTACGCATTAATGTTGTCACTGTTAATAGATGAAACCTTTATACCGCAGCGAGCCATTTCCTATGATGAAAGTCATTTTTCCTCAGTTTATTTCCGTGTAAAACGAAGAGTTTGCGATTAGCAATAAGGCGCCGGCGGGATATGTGGTTATGCGAAGGTAATCACAGCCCTGTGGGAGCAGAGGTACTCAACTGTACCTTTTGCTCTGTGACTCCTCAGGGGGGTGATTATCTCATGATAATCATATACCCTCACCCCATTGTGTCTTATTGCTTAATTAGCTACTGCATGAAACGTAGTTCTGTTTGTATCAACTTTATGTCGACTATAATTGCCCTGAGTTGCAGTTCTAAGATGAAAAAAGTGGATCAAATAACTACATATATTTTGTTTGATTAATCATGAAAAAATCATTAAGGGATTAAAGTGAAACCATTTTAGTCCTGCGGATCATGCTCAGCAATTTGAAATTATTTTATGATCCTGATCAATGTAATTAATGAGAATGGCTGTTAATTAGTTACACTAGCAGGTGGGCCATGAAAAATGTATTCACTTAATAATACCCTAGAACAACAAGCGATTAAGGGCTCCTGTGCTGATTTTACCTGGCACAGAGAAAGGAAATCGCTGTCCAGCTCACTGGGCTTTTTGAGATTACCACACTCCCCTCTTTGCCCTCCTCAGCTCCTCCACCACCTCATAGGGCCTTTCATAGGGTAACACACAAAGCAGCCCGACTTGAGATTTTAAAAGACATTAAGCATTTTTCGGCTTAAACATTCTCCTCTTTGTTGCAAGGCCCCACAAGCAGAGGTTTTTGGTAAACTCCACTAAGGCATTATTAATTTCAAATTAACTAACTGTAGCTTCACCATAGAAAATAGGGTAAGCCAGACCCCTTCATCTGCCCCCCAGCAGATGTCATAACCCTTTCTGTAGAGAGCCTAGCTATAGTAACCCCTGGTGGTTGTCTGGTGACAGACAGACAGGAAGTGTTAACATGGTCCATTGAGTTGTTCCTTAGTAGTGCTGAGAATTTATTGGGAGTTTTCATTGTCAAAAGATATATCACATCCCCTGAGGAGTTAGTCAATACTTTCAGTTATCTCCACAGTTTTTATCCTAGAGCAATACAAAAGGAGGCTAAAAGTGTAACAAATATTTCCAATATTCTCCTGATTAAACTATTTAGTCACATCAATTATGCAAATGACTACAAATATCTGTTAATATGACTTACCTGTGCACAGAGCTCTTTGCTTTCATTAAACCTCGCTAACTGACATTTAGGATCTGCCCCAGCATTCAGCATATCACTATTTGGCCTAATTGGGAGAGCTGAAATACTAAAAAGTGAGGCTAATGGGAAATTCCAGGGAAATCCTGATTCCTACTGTCAGAGGAGATGGGAACATAGTCGTCCCACTTTATGCTCTTTTCAGAGGCTACATCTCAAGTACCTATTGTATTTGGGTTAGCTCTACTGGATTTGCAAGCAATTAAGGAGAGAGACCTGGCTAGATGAAAGGGTCTTTGTGCAGCTTCCCTGGCCCCTTGACTAGGCAGTCACACCAGGGCACAAGTGGCCATGAAGTGGTTGGAGGCGGGCGGCGCTCTTGTTCCTTCAGATGTACTACAGCCCATTTCATTGGTGTTTGATTGTTTTTCCTTCAAAATAAAAGTTTGATGGAGGCTTTGCTTCTTTACTGTTGGACTTCTTTCTTTCTTTTGTAACTATCACCTGCTTAGTAGGAGTATATATATCTTATCTCCTACACCAAGGAAAGGAGTTTCTATTACTACTTTGTGCATTTCATTTTCTATCTCAAGGCAGTTTTCATTGTTGTATTTGCCAAAGAGCACAGTAGATGTTAGGGATTTTTATCAAATTGATGTATACATATGATGATTTCAAGAGTCAACTACCTATCAAAGCTTCTTAAAGACCCAAAGCAGTTCCCAGCCCTGCCACTGCACCCCTAGATTATTCCTTCTTCTCAACAAGCAATTGCTTATAACTTTATTTTATTCTTGGAGCATTTGCCTTCATTTCTCTAAAAAACACACTGGATTGCTATTTTTTTATTTTTAGGTATTATCTATTGACTTCCTTCTGTGGAAAATGAGCATTTAGTTGACCTTCTTGCTTTCCTCTTCCCTACTACATACTGGAATACTTGTCATCCCTCCATCTTCCCAACATATTTACGTCAAAAGTTTAGTTAGATCAATTTTTATTTTTGCAATTTTTAGATGGTATATGTTATTCAGACCTAAGCCATGTACTAAACTAGGATTTTCCTTTCCTGAGCAACTTTTTGGAGTCAATCATCATGACTGGCTTTTTATTAATGTTTGGTCATTTTTCTATGCACATATCACTAATCCAACCTTAAACTCTCTACTAGCTGCATAAATCCTGTCAATACATTTACTCACATTAGCTATCTATTTCATTTTCTTCATAAATTTCATTCAGAGCTTTCTGACCTACTTCAACCTCAACTGGTTGCCCTCTACATCGGGATTCTCTTCACCACTGTCTGGTAGACTCCTTTGGCCTCTCTCCTGTGTTATGGCTCCTGTTTCCTATAGACATGCTTTCCTCTCCTTTTATTTATTCCTTCTCTTTGGTGAACAAATACATCCTCTGTAGGTTACTGAGAAAAACTTGGTTAGAGGTCAATTTTTCTCTGAGATCTTGAGTGTCTGAAAATGTCTTTATCCTATCTTCCCACTTTATCGATAATTTGGCTAAGTAGAAATATTAAGGTGGAAGTTATTTTCCTTCAGGATTGTCTTTGAGTTTCAAGTGCTGCTGTGAAATCCAAAGCTATTCTGTCCCATTGCATGATACCTATTCTCTCCCTCTCTCCTACCTTCCTCCCTTCTTCCTTCTTTCTGGAGGCTTGTGGAATTTTCTCTTTATCTTCTTTTTTTCTGGAATGTCACAGTGAATCCTTGCTGCCAGCATTCTAGTGGAAGCAAACTGGCAGTCCCTGTGTGTAGCTGGTGGTGTATGCATTTGTTCACTAAAAATCCATGTTTCCAGAAAAGTACTCCAGGACAACAAACCTCTGTTTTATCCTCTCCAAAAAATAAAGTTCCATTTTCTGCAAGGCTGGGGAAAGGAAGAGCAGTAAGAGTGAGGGAGAGGAATTGGGGATCTAACTTCTTACACAGCTTTCAATCAATCCTCTATATTTTATACCCTCTTCACTCCTGCTTCAAGGGATATCTGCTATCACCAATTCCTTGGCTTTTTGAAGGTTCTGCAGTGTGAACTGTATTGATTCTAAGCTTTCCCACTGCTAGGATTTGGATTTCCAGATCTGCTAAATCAGCTAATATTTGCTCAAATGCTTTCCAGCTTCTGAAATTTGGTTATTTCCTCTCACATATCTCCAGTCCTTTTGAGTTTCTTTAAAAAAAAAAAATCCCTTATTGTAGTTTTGGTGTGGTTTTAAAAGGGAGTTAAATTAGAGGCATGTGATCAATCCACTATTGAAAAAAGTCAAAGCAGCTAATTCACATATGACAACCACGTCTCTTTCTCTCTTCTTTTAAAACATGAATTATGTGCCTGATGTTACTTCTGTAAACTGAGAAAGAACTTGAAATTTAGTAGACATAAACAAAAGGCAAAGAGGTCCTCAGGAGGGTGTTCCAGATGTATTTCTGAATTGATTCCAGACCCGAGTAAGTCCTGACTAGCTCAGGCTAAGCAGTTCTAAAGTGCTGTCTTGTAATTCTAACCGAGCCACAAGAGCCCACAAATGCTTAGCCGCATCCCACTCACTTCTGCTTGCATGTCTACAGCTTTTCAACTGACTCTGATGTTTCATAAACCGAAATTCCCAGCCTATTCTTTTTACTCCTACCACTACTAATATGCAACTTCCACACATATATCCATGCACAGTTTACAGAGTATTTAAACATATATTAACTCACTTAGTTCATATCCCTGTGAAGAAATTGTTTTGGTAGTGGTCATTCTTTCTAGAATCATGGTTAAAAGCTTGGACTCTGGAGTAAACATGAGCTGGTAAGGGTTCTGGTTCCATGCTGATTGTTCATACAACCTGGACAAATTATTCACACTCTCTGAGCTTCAGTTTCTAAATCTGTAAAATGGAGATAACTACAGTACTCTCAAATTATTTGAGGTTTTGTGAAGATTAAACAAGAATGCATGTAATGTGCTCAGCACAATAGCTGGTACAAAGAAAGCACTCAATAAATAGCAGCTATTACTCTGATTCTCATTTTACAGATGAAGATCCTGAGGTACAGAAACGTTAGATGATTTTTCCCAAGTCCACAGTACCAATAAGGCACAGAGATAAGACAAGGCTCAAACTCCCATCTTTGACTTAGAAGTTCATGCTTCTTCTACCACACCAGTGGTCTCATCTCTGGCTGCATGCACACTCAAATCACATGGGAAGCTTTGAAAACATTCCTATACAGGGTCCATCCAAGTGATTCTGACTTAACTGTTCAGGTGTGGATTCTGGACATGGGTTTGTTCTCAACCCTCTCTGGGTGATTCTAACACTAGGCAAGGGTTACAAAACTTACGTTCTTTGCCAAACTTCCTCTTTCACTCCCAGGTGGCCTTGAATTGTATTTTATCTCCCACCCATGTTCTAGACTCCTTGTCAGTAGCTAGAAACGCAACCATGATACACTAATTATAAAAAGTGTTAAGCAAATATAAAAATTGTTACCCCCATTCACTTGTTTGAGCACCCCAAGAACTTGCTGGTTTAGAGAATGCACAGCTTCTCAGAAATGACTAGAAATTAGCATATCAAGATCCAGCTACAGTCTCACCAAGTTTTCCTGAACACATGAGGATGTCCTTTGGTGTGGTCAGCCTGGGCTCCCCTCCAGGGTCAGCAGAGCGATCTATTTCAAACACTTCAGAACAACCTGAGGTTCTGAACTAAATTATAATACAGGTTTCTGGTTTTCCAAGTAAAAGGTGATACAAAGGGAGACTAGGTAAGAAAGAAAAGAGAGAAAAGCCACAGGGCTACTTTTGGGTAAGGAAAAAAGCCTAGAGGAGAAAAAACAATAGGCTGTTTCAACCTCATCCTGCCTGGGCTCAGCTGGGAGGTTATAGAGCTGACTCCCTGCTGATGAGGCACTTAGCTGAGCTCCATCCAAAGGCCACGTGCCTCAGGGCCTAACCCCATCAAGCTAGCTCACAGGAGTAGGCCAGTGCCCTAATGAAGCCCAAGCCCCATCATTTGCAGACCACTCTACCAGGCTAGTAACAGTCTCAGGATCAGAGAAGGTCACAGATCACTTTTAATTTCAGCAGCAAATAAAAGCTGTCATCATATATTCAGGGAAACTTCATGAAGGTACAGCTGGATTTTGATGTGCCCCATAAAAAATATTTATCTTAATTAAAAAGTGCACTTATGAAAAATATACTTTTTTTTTTTTTTTTATAGCAGGCCTTGGGTTTAAAAAGCTTTCTTCCCATGGTCATGAGAATAATAAACTTGTCTAGGACATGAAACCAAAATGAAAAGGCCAAAATAATCTTCTAAGGGATAAATGGGAAAATGACTAAAATGGCCAAAACCAGTCCTTCTAGGAGCTTCTTCTATAATAAACCAATGTTAGTTTTCATGGCCCTCACCTAGCTGCTATGGACTCAGCTCCAGTGATTCTCACCTGCTAATCCTGGGACAAAATCTGCTGTTCATATAACTATAAGCTCTAGCCAGCATCTACTGGCCTCTTCAGATAAAAAACAACTGGAGTCATCAGGCTCCTGAGCACATTTTCATAATCAGCCTGATCATGGGTGCATGGCAGCTGCTCGATTGATGGTGTTAGACAGGGAATAAAGAGAGATGCCAGGAGTGCCCTCAGATCTGACATAACGAGGCAAACATCAGTCATTTGGCTAAAAAGCTCATAAAGGCTCCATCAGCCATGACACAGGAGTTTGTCTTAGGCAGAGCTAATGAGGAAATGTAGCAGTGCAAGCCTTTTCCTTAGACAGGAACAAGTTGTGAATGGGCTGCATTTTCGATGAAAACAAGAAATGCAGTTGAAAACAGTGTATATCCTTACCCTGATGAGAAATGATATATCAGGGTTTTGCAACAATTGTCCAAAAGAAAAGATGTTTTTTAAAAAAGTGTTTCACTTTATTTGCCAAGTGCTCAAGTGCATGTAAAATTAGTACTTGAAAGTGGTCACTTCTATGGAAAGCAAGATTACACAAAACGTAATCTTGGCCCTCTCAGAAAAGGAAATTTCTTCGCTAATGATGGAATAAATCCAGTCCATGCCTTGAAAGAGTTGATTGTGGCTGGAATCCATTAAATAATGGACTTAGATAATAATATACAAACTACAAGAATAACCAGCATATGCGTGGCACTTTTTGGTATCTAAAGCACTTGTACAGCATTTCATTTGATGCTTAGTAACAAAAGCAGAGCAGAAATGATTATTAGCTCCATTCCTGAAGGAGAGAAAGAAACTGAGGCTCTTGTTGGTTAATTAACTTAAAGGCCCAGAACAAATCAGTAGCAGGGCTGGGCCTGGAACCTAGGTCTCCTGCCTCCAGAGCTTTGGAACTCTTTACCCTAGAGTTAAGCCAGAAGACTGACTTGTAGACAAGCTTCCACATATAGTCAAGTGTTCCTTCCATGTAAACAGTGCCCAAGAAATTTCACATGATTATGATGACCTATGGCCCTATTCCCTGTGGCTCATGTCTGCTGATGGCATTTAGGTCCAATATTATATTTGGATGATACTACCAATGACAGCAGCACAGCAAAAGCAATGAGTTCAAGAGGAAGAAAAATTATGCCAAACATTTTGGATGAAGATTGTTAATGTTTCAATGAACATACAAGTTCATCGTTTATATAATACCCAGAGGGCAACACGGGTAATTCAAAGAGAAACAGAAACAACCATCTTGTGCATCTAAGGAAAATTGCAGACCAGGATTATATAATAAACCACAACCTCCCTCCTCCAATGAGTTGCTGTGTACAAGTATTTTCTGAATGGAAAAACCACAAGAGTAGTTACGATCCAGTTATTTTGCACATATGATTCTTTCCCCATCTATGTTTACCCCTCTATGAAATCATAATGAAAAATATTCATTTTACTGGGTCTTGGGAGTAGGAAACATTTCCTAAGGAAAACAAATACAACAAATGAGGCAACTCCTTGTCTTGGAAATTAGCAACCCCTGGGCTCCTTTCTATCTTATCCTCATGATTCTTGGGTTCTTCTAGAAGGGTATGTGGGTATTTCTTAAAGCCACTAGGGTGCTACCAAGAACACTTCCATGTGGTATGATGCCCTGAGGTACTGAATGAGGCAACATTGGGGTTTGTCACCCATTTCCTAGCTAAGAATATAAAGAGGCAAGGATGCTTCTCATAGAGAACCACTGATGTCTCAGGGGCTTGAGAAATTAAAAAGGAAGAAAGGGAGGGAGGCCTAAAAGCATGTAGAGACTATGGCTATGCAAATAGCTCTTAGTGGACGATCAGAAGCAAGGTCTAGGTAGGTGCCCGCTCACTAGGAAGGAAAATGCATGAAACAGAATGCAGAGGCAGAATAACAGTGTTGTGCCTTATTATATCCCTTTGAGCAATATGATCTTCAGACAAAAGAGAAGAGATAATTACATATTGATGGATTTTCATATTTTGTTTTTTCTAACAGCCAATGGCTGTCAGCTCCTCAGAGAGCCAGCAAATCCAAGAATTGCTCTGTGTTCACACTGCCAGCTCTGCAGTATAAAATAGGTAGTATATTTTAATGTCTTTCCAACTGCGTGTTTGGTGGTAATGATTAGCAGATGCCCTTACTAAGGGGGAACTACACTTGAGTTCTGGAACAGAGCTCTAACATGAAGAGCTGCTCTGTGACCGCTCTCAGTTCCCAATCCATTGAACAATAGGGCTTTATCTTTGCTGAAAGGTAACACTGCTACGGCATTTGACTGTTTTACCTACTTCCATTTCTAGGTGAGTTTCCTTCAAAACATGGCCTTTCCGGTTACAATAATACAAATTAAGCATATTGTATAGGAAGGCTTTTATTTTTTCCCCAGCATCTGCCTTAGAGTTGCACTATTTATACTGGTATTTTTTCACAGTTTACTTTCTGCAATGTATTTGGTGTAACAAGATTGCTATTTAGTATAATATATTAGGCTGGTGGAAAAGTGCCTAGTGTAAGGAGCTGGTGAAATTTTCCTGAGAAACAAATGCATACCCTAGAGCCACTTGGGTGACATACTAAATGGTAAACAATTACAAGGCTTCTGCAAGCCTACCTGTTGGTGTTTGCATGAATTACACAGAGACACTGAGAGCCCTGATGCAGTGAGGTCTACATGAAATGAAGTTAAAATCATATTTCAAAACTCATAACATACCAACAAGCAAATAAATAAATTATCCTTTCCAAATGTCACCAGCCAGGTGATTTCCAGGCAGGCACTGCAGTGTTTTCCTGAAAATGTAAAAGAAGCATAGTCATCCTTCTCTGAACCCTATCTCCATGGTGTCCTGCATTGTCCCTGGAAGTTCAAGATTCATATTCCAAATGCTGCATGTAGTAGCCCTTTGGGGATGGATATTAATGAAGAGATGTTCTCATGTCAGAGCCTGCTTTATCAGAGTGTGAAAGGTACAGTCTGTTCAGAGCAGCTTTTTAATTTCTCATAATTAACCCTGCAAGAATTAACGTCCGTGGCATCAGTGGCAACAAATTTAAAAAGTCACATCAGCACAGTTAAATGCCTCTCACTGCCTCTCTGCCCCCCTCCCTCCTTATGCTGAAAGAGGAAAGTTCTCAAAGCCTGCCAATTTGATTGTCTTGTCACTGCACCGAGAGACCTGCTGGCTAGGTATGATCAGGCCACTTTTCCAACTCCCCTGCTGCAAATGCCAACCTAGTTCAGCTCTTAACTGTCCACATGCCATATGGATCCATGGCATGGATTCAGTTTCTTTTACTCAGTAACATATAGTGTCTCATGTGATCTCTAAAGTGAACATGGAGAACTGAAATCTGAGTATGTTTTTGCGGTTCTACAAGTTCTGACGCCGACTCACAATAGAAACACCAGGGAGTGCTGTGAGTCACTTTAGTTTAGCCTGGTTCAAGCTCTCTCAAACAATCCAGAGCAGATGATCAAAAAGAAGAAGACAGTGGCATGGGGGTGACCATACAAACATGACTACACTGGTAAGCTAGTAGAAATTGCATACTGTTTTGATATTGCTGCCTTTACTTAAAGCACAACTTTCACAGTAGAAGGAAAGTGTACCAATCAGGTAAGACTCAGATTTTGATTTTTTTAAAAATGTGAACAGGAATGATTGCTTTGGAGAAATAAAATCTACATGATAGTTTCTGCAAGTTGAATCACTGAACGACTCCGCAAACTCAATATGATCTTCATTGGAATCCAGGATTCATGAATCAGTCCCGTCTCTGCCCTCCATAAACAGTTTCCCTCTGGTTTGTTGGAGGGACTAACAAAGTAGAGGCCTGATGAGGTGACAGCTGTGAAACCTTCACTGTCTGCTGCACATCTATGGCCTCTGCCAGTTTTGTGAGTGCCACCCTTAAAGCGATGGCACTACTCACACACGTCACTTCAAGGAGTAACTTTGACAGACCCACATAATTGTATTAGAAATGTCTACATTTTACATATATGAACAAATATCACCAATTCTGGATTAACGTTGACATTTCATTCCCTTGAAAAGCTGTGGTATGTATAAGACCCATGTGAATACATGTACTGCATAAGAACCCGTGCTGCAGAGAGTAAGGGAGCAGGCTAGTTTCCTTCTGTTAAAAATCCACTAACGGCATTGAAGGGACCAAGACTAATGAAGCCACCACAGTTAAAAGCACACCTATGCTCCCTAAAGAGGAGCTCAAAGGACTGCCTTTTGGCGGGAGCTGAAACCCATGCAAAATCAATGCTATCAGCAAACCTACATGTGACATCTACTACGGGCAAACAGTATGCAGAGTGTCTGGGAAATTACGGGACTTGAAGATACATAGAATGAATAATACCTAAGGAAAACAGAGAGTAGATCTCTAAGCATGCCTGAAAAACTAATATGTCTTCAAGTCAATAAATATGCTTTCTCAGTTGGAGGGCATATAACTCTGGATTTTCTGTCTCATTTGTAAGGGTACTTTAGGGCCAGGCTGACCATGCAATCAACTTCAGCCACTTTTCAACAATCAACCGCTTTCCTTTGGCAAAGAGATAAAGGTAACTTTAGCGTGATGTTTCCTTTTAAGGGTTCAACTCAAACTTTCACTACAGGCCTTTTTCAAGATATAGTATTCTAATGCTCAAGCAGTTATGCATTGGTGTGCTCTTTCTAGGAGTTATTAGCCCCTTAAGCCATGTTTTTGTAATCACCTTTCTTTTTTCAATTATGCAATTTATTACATATTTCACACTAAGTATTACAAAATTCTGGAGCCAGTCACAGGCACTTTGCTTAATAAAATATTCATATACTAAAATGCATGCTTTTTCATCATGAGTAATATATTTAAAAGTAATTTCCCATTGGTCATTCAATTTTGGAGTGGTTGGCTCCTTCTGGCTTTGGAAACACTGTTAGAATCAATGTAAAAATAATAGCTCTTCTTGTACATATCCCCTAAAATATGCAAAAGGCTGGCTGTATGTTACAACTGTTTTTGTTTAATGCAGAAAGTATCTCCCCTTCTAGATTATCTGAATCAGTGAATCCTCAGCAGAGTAATGGAGTAGTGTATAAGCTCTAGTCTAGAAACAGTTATTAAGAGTATAGGCTAGAGTGATGAGAGCAAGGAACACTTTTACCTCGTAAATTGTTGGGTCTCCAGTGCTCAGAATTGGGTCTAGCACCTAGAATGTGTCCAATTTCAAATGTTTGTTGGAAGAAAATATGGAAGGGGGAAGGAGGATGGAGGGAGAAAAGAAGAGGAGGAGGAAGCCAAAAAGGAAGGAGATAGCGAGGGAGGGAAGGAGGGAAGAGAGGCTGTATTAAGTGTGTGACCTTGGGCAAGTAATTGATGCTGTCTAAGCCTACCCCATTAGATTGAATGAAGAGAGTGGGCCAGAAAATTTCTAAAGGCCTGCTCTATCAGTCTGTGATCCTATGGTTTAAACTGTCTATTGATATCAATTATAATATAGATAATAAAAAAGTACTTTGGTCACCAATGAAATATGTAAAAGTATTCAGAGGAGCATCTCTTATTAGTCCAATATCTGTCCTATTCTCTAAATATTGAAGAATTCTTTGTCTCAAATATTTAAACTACACTGAAAAGATGAACTGGGTATATATTTGCTTAATTTGCAGACTGACAGAGCTCAGATTGAGAAGTGTTTCCATAGGTTTACTAAAACACTTATCACCACTCTAATTCAACAATCTGAGTATTATCCTCTTGTAATAATGTATACTTATGAGAGGAAAGAAAGCTAATGTTACCTGAAATGAACACTTGTGGAACATTAATCTCTACAAATTCTAAAAGCCTAATATGTATTTCCATCATGGCGCAGCTGAGATTATCTTCTGGTAATATAAACGTTGCCACTGTTGCTACTAATTCTTCCACTTCCATATTCACATCTTCTGGAAGTGAGGTAAAGAAGTTTTTCCAAGTATGTATAAACCTATAATTCAAGCCTAGTTAATACACCTTGACCTGGCACCCAGGATTCTCCACTTAGAAGCTGTGTGATCTTGGACAAGTTACTTAGCATCTCTGTGCCTCAATTTTCCCTTACCAGTAAATTGAGGATAATAATAATAATACCTTTCTCACAGGGTTGGCGAGAGGCAGAAATGGACTGATATACATTTTATAAAAACACATTGATGAGTGCCAAGCATACAGTAAGTTGCATATAAGTATTAACTACTATACTGCTCCTTCCACAACAATGTAGTATGTTCCCAACATATATTTTGGGCTTTAACTCCCACTGCTCCCATCTTGACCATTCTAATGCAATCAGACTGGTTTACTCAGTCTTTTCTTTTTCTTTTTTTTTTTTTTTTTGAGACGCAGTCTCGCTCTGTCGCCCAGCCTGGAGTGCAGTGGTGTGATCTCCACTCACTGCAAGCTCCACTTGCCGGGTTCACACCATTCTCCTGCCTCAGCCTCCCGAGCAGCTGGGAATACAGGCGCCTGCCACCACGCCCGGCTAATTTTTTTTGTATTTTTAGTAGAGAGGGGGTTTCACCATGTTAGCCAGGATGGTCTTGATCTCCTGACCTCGTGATCCGCCCGCCTCGGCCTCCCAAAGTGCTGGGAATACAGGTGTGAGCCACCGCGCCCGGCCTACTCAGTCTTCTTAAATTACATCTTATGCTTCCTTGCCCTCATGCTTTTGCATGATAAATAGCAAATGTGTATTGAGAGCATACTCTGTGCCAAGCACTGTGCTAAAAGTTGAATGGATTATCTTATTTTGGTCTCACAAGATCTCTAGGTGGCAGGTACTATTATCACTCCATTTTATAGATGAGGGTAACTTATGCTTAGAGCAATGAGTGACTTGATCACAATTGTAGGGCTAATAAATGGCAGGACCACCATAGTGAAATCCAGGGAGTCTGGCTCTAGCTCTTTCATCAAAACCGCTGGACAGTCCTACCTATGTTTGTACCCAGTAGCTGTCTTACCTTCTGCAGTAGATCCCTGGTTCCTTTCACCTACCCATGTGCCCTCCCAAAAATTATCTCAACCCTAACTCATCCTCAGACATTCCCCGATCAATCCAGTTCTCAGAGTACTTCACCTTTGAACTACTCTCAGAGGAGTCAGGGCTTCCTTGGAAGCAGGGACAATCCATTTAGTCAAGTAATTATTTAGTATCCTGGAACAGCACCTCTATTTTCCTGAATTTGGAAAGATTTAATTTTCTTTTTGTATATGTTTGGTTGGTTTCTCCAATTAGATCTGATGTTCTGTAAAGTCAGCAGCCAAATCTCATGTTTCTTTTATGTCCTAAATAGCACTTGCCACTAAGTAGGCATTGAGTTAAAAAGTGATCATTTCAGCCAGGCGTGGTGGCTCACATCTGTAATCCCAGCACAATGGGAGGCCGAGGCGGGCGGATCACGAGGTCAGGAGAAGATCGGGACCATCCTGTCTAACATGGTGAAATTCCGTCTCTACTAAAAATACAAAAAATGTGCTCGTAGTCCCAGCTACTCAGGAGGGTGAGGCAGGAGAATCGCTTGAACCCGGGAGGTGGAGGTTGCAGTGAGCTGAGATCGGGCCACTGCACTCCAGCCTGAGCAACAGAGCAAGACTCCGTCTCAAAAAAAAAAAAAAAATCATTTCATTTAACTCCAGGGGCAAATAACTACGTCAAGCTGACCTGGGCTCCTCATTTTAACAGCTGGCAAGCAGACACAATAAAATTCAGTTTTTCAATACCTTCCTTGATTATTTAATTACTACATCAGTCATTTTCCTAGTTTTCTCTCTTGAATGCTAATGTTTCCTTGGACATACTCTGCCACCATTTTAACAGTTTCTCAGACCCAGGAATTTGAAAATAAAATTCAAAACAGAAAATAAAATGACTTTTTTTTTCTTGTAAAGAGACCAATACATTATTGAACATTCCTCTACTAGAGATTTATTTAATTAAAATAAGCTTTAAACTGAGGAAGATCTCTATAAACTGATGTTGAGTAAGATCCCGGATACCTTTTTAAATGAAAAAGTTCTGACATTTGAAAGCATGTTAATGTTTCACAGTGTTTTTTTTACAAAAAGAAAAGAAAAAATAAACAAAGGTGAAAAAACAAAACTTTTAAAGGAATTCAAACAGAAATAAGCAAACTTAAGTATATTTCAAATGAATAACATATCCACAGTGGGGGTGGAGGCGTAAGGCGACTAAGAGCTAATGTAAGTGATTTTTGCACACAATCTTCAAACTATATGTCCTT
Organism: Homo sapiens; assembly: GCF_000001405.40. Lineage (NCBI taxonomy): Eukaryota > Metazoa > Chordata > Mammalia > Primates > Hominidae > Homo > Homo sapiens. Next base: position 148,583,933 of record NC_000023.11, on the reverse strand, counting down.
AGGCTAAAGACAAAAATAACTCTAAGCAAATATTGTACACTAGCTAGTAGGCTTCTTTCCATAGTGTCATGGGTTAGCAATTCTGAAAGTACTTTTCCGTGTATTCTAGAATTGAGTTAATTAGTTAATATATAGTGAATAATTGGACTCAGGTTTCTCAGTGTCAGAAAAAGGAGTTATAAATACGGAAAAGGAAAAAGAAAGAATGAACCCTGTTATGTCAGATGGAAATTAGAGTATGAGTACAAACTTGTAGCTTTTAATGTGTGTCTTTGTCTATATTGAAGTCTGTATGAAAGAAAGATAAAAAATATATAATAGATGTGTGTATATACATATGCATATATGAACATATGTATACACATGGATTTTCTAACTCTATCTGCTAAGAGGACTTAGCATTTGCAGGGACTTTTAGGACATAGAAACTACTATGCATGATACTATTATGGTGAGTGGCTATACATGTATGGGGGCAGGGTGCATATGGAAAATCTCTGTACCCTCTGCTCAATTTTGCTATGAAACTAAAAATGCTCTTAAAAATAAAGCCTATTTTTAAAAAAATCACCATTTGGCATCCACCACAATAATAATTGATTCAGCAGAATTGTCAATGAATGCTAAATCTAGTGAGGGAAACTTCAGTTTTTGTAATGGCTTTACTGAGATACAATTCACATACCATACAATTTACTATTTTAAAGTGTATAATTTAGATGTTTTTAGTGTACTCACAAGGTTATGGAACCATAACCATTATTAATTCCAGAACACTATTTATTAACCCCAAGGAAACCCTGTACTCATTAAGCAGTTGCACTCCATCCTTCCATCACTAAACAGTTACAACCACTAATTTACCTTCTGTCACTGTGTCTTCGTCTATTCTGCACATTTTACATAAATGGAATCATACAATATGTGGCCTTTTGTGTCTGCCTTCTTTCATTTAGCATGTTTTCAAGGTTGTCCAAGTTGAGGTACAAGTTGTAACATGCATCAGTACTTCATCCTTTTTCGTGGCTGAATAATATTCCATTATATGGATATATCACATTTTGTTTGTGAACTCACCAGTTGATAGACATTTGGGATGTTTTTACCTTTTGGTTATTGTGATTAGTTCTGCTATAAAAATTTGTGTACAAGTTCTGGTGTGAGCAAATGTTTTCGATTCTCTTGGGTATATACTTAGGAGTAAAATTGCTGGGTCATATGGTAACTCTATGTTTAACATTTTAAAGAACTACCAAACTGTTTCCCACAGTGGCTATACCATTGTATGTTCTCAGCAGGAATGAATGAAGATTCCAATTTCTCCACTTTTTCAGCATTTGTCATTATGTGTCTTCTTAAGCATAGTTACTTTAGCAGATGTGATGTGGTATCTCACTGTGGTTTTGATTTTGAGGTTTTGGTTTGCATTTCCCTGATGATTAATGATGTTGAGCATCTTTAGATATGCTTATTGGACATTTGTATATGCTCTTTGAAGAAATGAGCATATTCATATGTCCTTCTTATTTTTTAATTAGTTTGTGGGTAAAATTTTGATGAGCAGCAAGATCATTTACATAGTCTCAAAGTACTTCCCTACAAGATATTTACTATTTACAAAGAAAAAAATACTAACTTTATAGGGAAGAAACCTGGCATTATCGTGACAAGCTTTCTATCACCTTACCACCTTAAGCAAATGATCAAAGTTAACATCACCAGTAATGGGACAAATCAACAATGTTCCTCCTAAAATGATGCACTGAGAAGAACACAACGTCACTTTTGTGGTATTCCTGCCAGTAGTACATAATACGACTCTAATCACTAGAAAACTAACAAAGACAAAACTAATAAGACAAACCCAAAATGAAGGACACTTTGCAAAATAACTGCCCTGTATTTTCAAAAATATCAAGGACATGAAATAACAAAGACAGAGCGAGGAACGTCCCAGATTAAAGGAGACTTAAGAAACATAATAACCCAATGCACCATGTGACCCTGGATTTTCTTTTGCTCTAAAGGACATTATTGGAACGATTGGCAAAATCTGAATAAAGCCTTTAGATTAAAGTATTTAGATAGATTAGTACCAATGTTAGCTTCCTGATTTTGATCAATATGCTGTGCTTATGTAAAAGAATCTTTATTTTTAGTAAGTATACATTGAACTTTATGTTCAATATGTCTGTGACTTATTCTCAAACAAGTCAGGAAAAAAGTGTATTTGTGTATACATATACGTATACGTATATATGTGTGTACACGTATACGTATATGTATATATGTGTGTACACGTATACGTATACGTATATATGTGTGTACACGTATACGTATATATGTGTGTACACGTATACGTATACGTATATATGTGTGTACACGTAGACGTATACGTATATATGTGTGTACACGTAGACGTATACGTATATATGTGTGTACACGTAGACGTATACGTATATATGTGTGTACACGTAGACGTATACGTATATATGTGTGTACACGTAGACGTATACGTATATGTGTGTACACGTATACGTATATACGTGTATATGTGTGTACACGTATACGTATATATGTGTGTACACGTATACGTATACGTATATATGTGTGTACACGTATACGTATATGTGTGTACACGTATACGTATATACGTGTATATGTGTGTACACGTATACGTATATGTGTGTACACGTATACGTATACGTATATTATATATGTGTGTATACGTATACGTATATGTATATGTGTGTATACGTATATGTATGTGTGTATACGTATATGTATATGTGTGTATACGTATACGTATATGTGTGTATACGTATGTGTATATATACATATACACATATGTATATATGTGTGTATATATACATATACACATATGTGTATATATGTGTGTATATATACACATATGTTTGTGTGTAGGAGGTGCATATATGTATATATTTGTGAGAGAGGGAAGAAGGAAGCAATGTGGTACAAATGTCAACATAGGAATCTGGGTAATAGGGATATGAGAATTCTTTCCATGATTCTTATAACTTTCTGTATGTCAAAATAAAAAGTTTTTTAAGAGCTGTAATAATAGTATAAAATTGATTTGTTATTTACATTAAGAAGTACAATTATTTTATTTCAACCCACTTACCTAAGCTTATTTTTTAAAAATACACACACATATATATATACACACACACACACACATATATATATATAAAACTGTTATGAACTTGTTTCTTCAAAAATGTGCCTAACTTCAAATAATTTTCTTTAAAATTTTGTTTTGGTCTTTTCTACAACTTCATCTGAATGAAAAAATGGTGCTTCATTATCACAACAAAAATCCTTTTATTTCAAATTACTATTTGATTATGTCTGCTGCTGGATCACTCTAAGGGTGCTTGCATTCCTGATCTAGACACATTTTCTTTACACTTACAAGAGCTCTGTTGTCTGATGCTTCAAAACAGCTTAGCTACCGTGCTAAGAGACTTGGCTAAAAGAATAGGAAGATAATATTTTTCATTTTATTTTACCTATTTTCCCCTTAAATAAATATCCAATGACGGATATTTTACTTGGGGGTTCTTTTACAAAAGGTGGATGGGCTGGTTCCAAGGATAAGCCCCCTAAGAGCCTCCTAGAAGCTGAGTTCAATTTGATAACCACAGGCTTCACTGACTCATAACCAGTAGCAGCCATCTGGCAAATAGGAGGCACTGGGCAAAAAGCCCCTGGATATGAATGGGCAAGTGTATCCAGGCAAATGCAGCACTACTTGGACAAGTATTAAAGTACTAGTTCCACAGATGCACCTTGGTTTATAAACAGCATAGCATGTTCAGCTCAGTTTGCAGTCTCTGAGCTCTTACCAACTTGGCAGCAGAGAGGGTTGCAAAGTTACATGTTATCTCTAAAAATCATGCACTATCTGCACAATAGTGATGCCTGACCCAAAGGAAATTAGTTTAATGGGACTGCAAAAGAGACGCTGACCTACCTCCCTTTTTCACTCTTAGTACACACAAGAACTCCAGGCTGAATTCTGCCACTCCTCCATGTCCTTCATAGCACCTCAAATTATTTACTCTAAAGAAATCCTCATATTTTATCATGTCTATTTGGCCATCTTGCACATTAAATGCTTTAATAAAGCTCAGCTGTCAGTTTCATGACGAGTTTTCCAGTCACAGTAACAAAACATCAAACTTTTTACTTGGTTTCCACACACTGCATGCAGTGATAGCTCCTTAATTTTATTTAGTCCAGTTTTCATGTAGGTCTTTGAGCAACAAAATATTCTTTCGATACTACTATATTTAATAAAACAAACATGAAACAGCATTTATGTTGGGGCATAAATGACTAACAGCATCATTTAAATATATTACAACAGACAACTCTCTTTTACTATGGCAAATGACAACAATCGCTTTATTTTTCAAAACGTGTAGCTGTGATATACATGCTGCTGATAAAAGCCTGTTATTCACCAAACTAAATTGTGTTTGGCCTTGCATTGAACTCAGAGAAAATTGTGCATGCGCATCTCAGGTAAAACTTAGCTCCCTATAGATGTGTGCACTACTCCAATGTTATTTACAGACCAAATATATTGGAGCCAATCTGGTAACAAATACGGAGGCTATATTCAACCATTTCAGCCATCAATTACAGACATACGTGGGTTTTCAGTTCAGCGTATGGAATCTAACAATGGTGCTTAATTATCACAACAAAAATGCTTTTATTCCAAATTACTATTTGATTCTGTCTGCTGCTGGATCACTCAAAGAGTGCTTACATTCCTGATCATAGACACATTTTCTATAAGTTTACAAGAGCCCTAATGTCTGATGCTTCAAAACAACTTAGCTGCCATGCTAACAGGCATGGCTAACGTGTAGCCTAGAAACAAAATCTGCAACTGAGCTCAGCCTCTGGGAAAAGGCATCCTTTCTAGTGGAACCCACCTCAAAGTAAGACCTTTTTATTTGTAATTAATTAAGGTGACAATGGTGACTTTATTTTCACTGGGGAGGGGTGCCTTTCTAAAACATTTGCCTAAAAGTCTAGAGTCTAACATTTATGTCCCTGGATGCCCTCCACACATTAAAGAAAAAACTAATTCGTTCAACCAATGTTTCACAGTCCATATTCAAATATTTTTGCCCTGCAAAGTGCTAGTTACATGACAGATATGTCTCCAAGTATCCCATGATGTTTTTTCCCCCAAAACAGAACGCATCTATAGATAACAAAAATAATCCACAGTAAGAAAATGAAGCAGCCTAACAACCTTTAACATGGAACCAACATTGCCAGGAACATGTATTGGGCACCTACTATGTGATGAACAATGTACAAAGGTCTGAGGATAGAAAAATGAATAACATACAGTCTTTGTTTTCAAGAACCTCAAAGTTTTCAGGCAGCAGGGGAAACATAAAAGCTGATCCCTTCAACGCACCTATTAGTGTCATGCCATGGTCTATACATGGGGCACTTGGTTCAGACTGGGAGGGGCTGGTACCATGAAAGAGGAAGAGATGACTCTTAAGTGGAGTCCTCAAAGAAATAATCTAGAAAAATGATGAGGCAGAAGAAGGATGCTGGGAAGTTATCAAAATGAGTTTGGCCTTTAAGAAACAACCAAAGGGACTGTCAGGGAGAGAGCCTAAGGGATAAAGTGGAGATAATACGGGATTAAGTCAACAAGCCCTTGCAAACAGGTAAACTTCATAAGCACAGGACTACAAATTTCCAAAACCTAAAAGCACAAGCAAAATGATATAAGAAAAGACACCTCCAATTGGAATTTTCTGACTAAGTCAGTTCACAGAAAAGTTAAAGGCCAAGAGTGAAAGTAAGTGTAACACATGACCAAATAAAAATAAAGAAAGAATTTGGGGATTTGCTGAAGCATCAGTCCAGTATTTGCCTGGTAATTCCAAAAAGAATCGCAGAGGAGCTGCAACTTATCAACAGATGGATGGAAGCCTGGCCAGCGATGCAGTTGGAATCCTAATGAAAGCACAGGCACAGCCTCAGGGGTGCAAAGTAGGTGGGCCCTAATGCAAGTGAGACACAGTAATACCTTGTTGTAAAGGCATTTGGGGGAAAAAAGATGATGCCGCTGAGCATATTCACCATAGAGAAAGGATCAGTGTAAGATGAGAGAAAAATCTGGAGCTCCGAGGAAGATCCCCACTATTTATGCACATTTAACAAATGAAAGTGCAAAAGAAAATAGTTCAAACATGTGTGGGCTTCCTTCCATGAGATGGCACATTTCTGTAAGAAAGACAATTTTAAATAGGCAGAAAACTAGAAGTAGTAACAAAAAGAAATCTTTGCTTCCCTTTATTCTTTTTACTCTTCTGTTATTTGTTAATGGTATTACTAATCACTTCCTTCATCAGTCTAGGAAAGCAGAGGTTTGGGAGCCTTAGACACTGCAGTTGTTTGTGGAATAAAACTGAGCAAATAGCAGCATACACGGTTTATGAAACCAGAGGGTTTATACTCTATAAATAACTTCCAGTTATTTTTATTCTTTTCACGTACACCATTACTGAAGACTGGATGATAGCTTTTTGCTATTGCCTGGTTGACTTGTGCGCACGTGTGTGCGCGCACACACACACACACACATCCAAGGTAATGACGATATTGATTCTGAAGAGACACTTTTTGAGACAAATAAAAGAACCATATATACAACTGGTCTAATAGAGCAGGTCTAGAAACTTCGCAGTAACACTAGGCTTTTTCATGAATAGCAATTGTCTAACACACTTGAAAATCTTACAACCTAATAACATCAGAGGTTTGGGGCAGCATTAGAAAGGATGTGATACCTTAGAGATACTCAAGACAGTGAGTGGTCTATGCTATTTTATTGTAAATTAAGTTCTACATTTTCTCTTTAATAAAAAAGTAATAACCTGTGACTGAGCAGCCCTAGATAAAGTATGAAAACAGAAGCTTGCATGTGAAAACATTTCAATTAAACAGAGAATTCAAAAATAGAGCGAAGAGAACCAATTAAGCAATTCAAACACAAAAATATAAAAATAATTGTATTATGAAGCAAGGATTAGTTTTTCTCTGTCTCACACACACACACACACACACACATACACACACACACCCCAAACCACATTCATGTCGCTAAACTAGGGGAATTGGGAAAAAGACTTTCGTTTTTGGTGGGTAGCCACCTTTTCGGTTAAACGTTATATTCAAAATGTGCCTAATTCTTATAATCCAAATATGTGACACTGCTTGGGTTTCCATGACTACTGCTCAGAAAACCATATTAATTATTCAAGAAGACCATGCCGTTCTCCTTGCATGCCCTAAGGAATGCTGGGAAATGCAACATGCCATTATAAAGGAAATAGCTGTTAAACAGACTGCATGACCAAGTCTAAATAGGAAAGTTATTTCCTCGAAGTACTGACATCATCCTGATAGCATTAAGCAGTATTATTTAAACTCCTCAGAACAAAATTAAATAAGGAAATTAAAGAGTTTTGCTTCACGTTTAATATCTTCACAATCTTTGTATGACCTATAATTGTAGACTCTGCTCATTCCTCTGATAGGATCTGATTTTAAACCAAGTTGGCTGCCTTGCCTAAAACAGTGCTCATTCTATGAAACTTTCCCCCAAAGGCTGCCACTTTGTCATTGCAGAACTTGTAGGAAATCAGATAATCCAGTTATTAAGACAAACTGCAGCAAAGCATCTGGGTGCCATATCTGCCAATGCCTGAATATAACAATAATTGTAATAGGTGCTGCTGCCTATGATCTTTCCTTCATTATAAACATTACCAAAACAGAAGCAGGGAGGTCTGTCTGTGTTCAAGCAACCTGTACACTGCTACTGAATTCTTGTCATAGCTAAACTTGCAGTGTCAATCCCATAGCAGGCAACAACGGGCATGATCAGCCCAATTACTCAAAGACAGGAGAGAAGAAAGCTAGAAACAACACACCACATGCTATTTAGCTCCTTGAGGAGTCAGAAATGTTATTATTTGTATTTATTATATATATAATATTATAATATCAGATAATTATATATTCTATTCTATTTTATTATATAATTTATTATTTGCACTTACACATTATTTGCATTTATTAGCAAAAAAAGACTGATTTTAAAAGAGATGGCTATTGCAATGGGACACAAGTTGAAGTTTCTGAGTTCAAGTTCAAAGATCTCTAAATATGAGCAATTTAGAGAGATTTACACCAGTACTGGGCTTCATTAATTTTGAATTCTTGCTTATCATACATATTCAGGGAAGAAGAAAGAAGGGCAAATTTTCCAGAAGCAAAGAATGTGAGAGATTCAGGGTGATTTGAATACACTGAATTCTGTACTGCATAATCTTGCAATCAAATTTCAAAATAATGTGATTAAAAATTATACCCTGTGGAAACGTAATCACCTGCCACAAATGATAAAGAAATAAAATGAAGTGATATGTAACAATTATCTAAAACATAATGAACAGTCTATTTGCTAATTAAAAGGAAAACATATTATGTATTGTAATTGCCATTCAATATTCAGTAATATAATTTCTCTATAGTTAACTTATACTCCTTTTCGTGAATTAAATGCTGATGGAAAAGAGTGAAAATGAGAACAGTGATAAATGCTCACCCCACAAATAAACAACCTTTATTATTAATTATTCTTTCCATCAACCAATTACCACTCAAATTGTAAGAAAGCTAATTACAGAAGGAAAGCCAACTTGAAAAATATTTAGTGAGATTTTAATTCAATTCAACCATTACCTATTGAATCTGCTAGGTAGGCATTGGCAAAATAGTCAGTGCTATGTCGGACAAAAAAAAATGTGACTCTCATTTACTTAGTGCTTCTCTTGTCCCAGGCACAGTGTCCAGTGCTCAGTCTCTCTCTCACACACACACACACACACACACACACACACACACACACACACCCCAGCACTATGTATGTATTTATGAATCTGCACAATATTCCAATGAAAGCAGTTACTGATACTATACTTACAGACTTCTCAGACTCTCAGTTTCATCATCCCTGAAATGGAAACAATAATGTGTACTTCTTAGCTTTTTCTTGAGAGTTAAACGACAAGGTAAGTAAAAGTCACAGTCCAGTACCCAGTAAATGGTAGTAACTATTATTAGATATTAGCAGTTGGGTAAAGACTAAGGCCACAGCTGTTGTGCCATCATCTTCATGAAGCACAAGGGCAGGGCAGGAAAGAGTACCATAAATTCAGCCCACCATTCCTTGCCTCCAGAAGTAAGATCCTCAGTCACAACCCCTTCCCTAAACAATTTGACCCAAACAAGAATAAACAATTTGCTGTGCTACAGAATGAATCTGTGTGCTCCTATTATTAAGAAAGATTTCCAGGTCATTGACTAAGATCAAAGCAACCAAACCCAGAGCTGTGGTTATGGCTCAGTTTGCTGGGTGTTTCTGACTACAAGAGGCCATGAATCATAATGAAGAATCCACTAACTTTGGCCTTGTCGACACCAACCCTTATAGAGCTATTCAATCACATCCATTCACAAAGGCCCGACTTTTCCCTTTGTCACTAGGGCAGAAGGGCCAGAAATAATCTACATATTAGATAATCTGCTTTTAGGATTGGTGGGAATTGACTATATATTGTTGAGAATTAATGTTTTCATGAGCCATCAGTACACTATAGACAAGGATTACTGATTTCCATGACTCAGACAATAAAAAAAATTTAGTTGTTATTAAATCCTTACTGAGCAATATTTATTCTTTCTTTGGATGATTCAGGTCATCAAAACCCCTGATGTTGCTGTGAGACATATAGATTGGGTTAAATCTCAACTATCTCTCTATATTTATTATCTTAAAAGATTGTTGGCTTATCCTTTGTCTCCTCCTTATCAAGGCAGAGTACACGATGCTAAGGGTGAAAAAATCCAGCTCCAAGATTTTTAATTTGGAGTCTCAGAAATAGAAATTTGCCCCACATTTCTAGTTTGGATTGTCACATCGGAACATGACCGCTAATACTAACTTTACTGTGGAATCATGATTTTTCTTTCTCCCCAAATACAAGAAATATTCCATTTGTTCTATCTTTTAGCTTCACTTCAAAGAGTAAAGCTTCAAATCTCTATATCATTTAACCCAAACTTGTTTCCATGACTGCAAAAAACACTAAAGTTGCCTATGTTGTGGGAATAAGACACGTTAACCTTAAATGTCTGCAGTTGGTTTTCAAGGATTGTTCACATCAAATTTAACCTTCCTCCACATGTTTTTTTCTTAAAATGTAATTTTAAAAGATCCCTGATGTCCAATGCAAACAGATTCTAATTTTAAGGTGCTTTCCATGTGATTCTTGAGGACAAAAAAAAAAGTCTTTATCACCATTTTAAAGACCAAGAGGTTAGTATCGATTATCGCATTCCACAGACACTCACAATATCCGGAAACTATACGTTGGTCTAGAAGTTCAAATTCCTATCCACTCCATATAGCACTTCCCCCAGGCTTTTAGCCACCCCAAGACCACTCATTGCATGTTTCTTCTGTCTCCCTTGCTCCCCCTCTAGTGGATGTGCTGGGGATCAGGGTCCCAGAGGCTTCATGGAGTCCATGGCTGACCTTACAACTGAAAAGCCAGCAAACTACAAAGTTTTGACTGTCATTGCTGGTTGATCCACCACTGAAACCAGCCTGTGTATCTTTTTCTGGAAGCTGGGTGAATTCTTACAAAACTAGAGTGATTAATGTTTTCTAACATAATTTCCCTAACAATTTTTAAGTCTGTCTGCTATTTATCATCACCATGCAGCAGCAATTCTAAATGCCAATGATAAAATACTCTTTCTGAAATAAAAATTGTTGGTCTAAGTTGTAAACAATATATCTAGTTGCTGTTTCAAAGAATCATCAGTGAATGTTAAAGCTAGTTAGTGAAACTGTTTTTCTAAAAACTTTCCTGAGATATAATTCATAGATAATACAATTTACCATTTCAAAGTCGATAATTCTGTAGTCCTTTCATATTCACAGATGTGCAACAAACACCACTATCTAATTCCAGAACATTTTTATTACTTCAAAAATAAACCCTGTACCTATTAGCAGTCACTCTACATTCTCCCCTCCCAGCAGCCCCTGACAACCACTCTATGAATTTGCCTATTATGTGTATTTTATATAAGTTGAATCATATAATATGTAACCTTTTATGTCTGTTTTTTCTTTCACTTAGCATAATGTTTTCAATGTTCATCCAAATTGTAGTGCAAATTGTGACACACATCAGTACTTCCTTCCTTTTGTGGTTGAGTAATATTCTTTGTATAGATAGACCACATTTAGTTTGTCCATTCATCAGTCGATGGATATTTGAGTCATTCCCACTTTTGGCTGTGACAAGTAATGTTGCCATGAACACTCCAGTACAAGTTTTTATGTGGACATATGTCTTAAATATTATTCCATGTATACTTAGAAGCGTAATTGTTGGGTCACATGAAAATTCGATATTTAGCTTTTTGCGGAATTCCCAAATTGTTTTCCACAGTGTCTGCATAATTTTATTTAATACATTTCCACAAGCAAAGGGTGTTAATTTCGCGACATCCTCGCCAACACTTGTTGCTGTGTATCTTCTTGGGCATAGTGATTCTAGTGGGTGTGAAGTGGTGTCTCATGGTTTTTATTAATATTTGCATTTCCCTGATGACTAAGATATTCAGTGTCTTTTCATGTATTTATTAGCATTTGTGTATCTACTTTGAATAAATATCTATTCAGATGCTTTGCCAATTTTTAATTGAATTATTTTGTAACAGTTTTTTTTTTTTGTCTTTTCTGGATGCTAGTATGTTATCAGATCTATGGTTTACAAATATTTTTCTCATTCTGTGATGTGTCTTTTCACTTACTTGATGATGACCTTTAAGCTCCCTACCAATATTTAATCAAAATAGTTGCTAATGCCTCAGGCTGAATAATCTTTTTTCTCATAACTTTTAGAAAGTGCTTCCTATATGTAGGTGGATCTAGAGATATTAGTCCTATTATCACTGGCCCTTTGACCCTGTGCTGATCCTTAGTTAGATTGGGCCATAAATACTTTATCAGGTGTCCATCTGTCCTTAGGACAATGAACCGACTCAGGCTTCCCAGAAAGCTTTTAGAAGCTTTAAAATGATAATACTATCTTGAGAATGACTGCTTTTAAGCCAGTGAACTCAGTGCCTTTTTTTAATTGGCATTATTTGTCTAGGAGGATTTGGGTTAGCAGCTTTTCCCACAGGAATAAGTTTAGCTACAAGACTTTGAGAATTCCTCTCTTTGATCAATACAATCTTTTACTTTACACTCCCATACAGCTTTTCCATCTGTTTTCCCACTGAAAATGTGCCCCAAAGTTTAAATTTTCTTGATATCTTTCAGACCCAAACTTACGAACCCAGATGAGCTGCAGTTGGGGGTAGCGGGTGGTGCAGAGTAGAGACCAGTCCAAGCTAAATTACTGGAAATGCCAAGTTCTGGAACATTTGGAAAGCAATGCTGCAGCTAATCATGCACAGTAATCATAGGCAGGAGGGCAGAAGTGTCATCTTTAAGAATCCACAGAAGCATGGCTTCAAGTCAAGCGGCCTAATGGTAGAACTTTGATAACAATTAAGTAGTCCACAGGCTTGCCCAGAAAAGCAGCTCCAAAGAATACAGTTGGGTTTTTTGAGCTAATGCTTCATCTATACCACAAGTGCCAGAGGTGCAGTTGCAAAGAACAAACTTTAGTATGAAAATTTGTTATGAATTGAATTGTTTCCACCCCCTCCAAAAAAATATGTTTAAGTCTTAACCTTCAGCACATCAGAATGTAACCTAATTTGGAAATAGGGATCTTTCAGCGGTGATCAAGTTAAGATGAGGGTCTTAGGGTCAGCCCTAATCCAATATGACTAGTATCCTTATAAAAAGGGGACATTTGGACAGACAGATAGGCACACATAGAGGCAAGAGGATGGGAAGACACAGGAAGAAGATGGCCATGTAAAGGTGGAGGATTGGAGCGATGGATCAACAATCCAAGGAACGGATGCGGTTACCAGAAGCTAGGAAAGAGGCATGGAACACGTCTTTCCTGGGACCTTTGGAGGAAGCATAGCCCTCCCAACACCTTGATTTTGAAGTTATAGCCTCTAGAACTGGGAAACAAAACATTTCTATTGTTCTAAGCCACACCAATTTGTGGTGTTTTGTTTCAGCAGCTCCAGGAAACCAATACAAAGCACCAGGCCCTATGCAAAGGGAGAACGTCCTGTGTCTCAGGTAGAAGGATTGTCATTACACAGACCCTTTCAGTCACATCTGCATGCCCAGATCATCAGTGTTGTAAGCAGCACTATCTTTGAAATGAAAAGGAAGAATACAAGTACACATTCCACATTTCTTCTACGAAGATGCGTATTTCTACTTTACTAAATGTTATGAGACTTCAAATCTTGATCCACCTATGTGTGTGGTGTGTATTAAAAAATGAGTAATGATTGCTTGGTTCAAATTGAAGAGGTTGTCAGAGAAATAAGCCAAGAAATCACAACTGCTTTCTCTTCCTGACTCATTCTTAATAAATAATGAAGATTTCTTATTGGGTGATATGAAATTTCATCTTAAGCATACTGAGGGTCTATAACCATGTAGATGTGACACTATGTAGCTTGTACGGTTCAAAGTAGGCTTGATGATGATGACAATGACTGTTTGGAGATTACAGACCAAAATAAACATACACTGTACACTTTGGATTGGTAGAAATTATAAATCGTCTGCATCTTGATCCATCAAAATTATGTGAAAGAATAATCAAATTAATTATGGTAGCCTGTCTATAGGAAATATTGGATATGAGTATATATCAATCAAGCCAGTGAGATGGAGACAAGGATTCTTTCCATTTTACTGACAGCTATCCTTTTTATATATATTACATGTGGTCTGATATCATGTATGATTGTATGAAAAAATCACTGAAACAAATGTACTGAGAGTAGTTTGGTAAACATTACATTTTTAATTTTATTGCATAATAATTTCATTTATTCATTAAACAAATATTTAATGAGCCCCTATTATGTTTCACAACCTGTGCTAGACAACCAAGATTTATCCATGCATAGAAAGAGCTTCTGAACACTAATGTCACAAGGGGCTAACACCGTGACTTCAGCTCTAGAGGTCAAACACACACACAGTTATCCTCAGAGAATCAGGAAAGCTTTGGTTCTAACATAGCAAATCTCCACATTTCTTAATTTAAAATTAATAGAAGAATTTGATAGATTTTGCACCCTAACTCTACACCCAGGGGAAAAAACTGAAATAAAATGTGTCTAGAAAATATGGCATATTTCTTACTCCTTGTATTTTTGTTTGTTTTGCTTTGTTTTGTTTTTTAGAGATGTTTGGTTACTTTTCCCATATTTCAGCAAAACTTCAGTTCTCATTGAATAGCAAAGAAACGACCGCTAAAAGCTTGGTAAAAGCGAAATGTTAAGTACTAACATGGTTTGTTCTTAGGGAAAGTAGAAAGGAATATGACTCACATTGTACATCTTCTATATGCAGAGTTTTCTAGATTTTCTTATCTAAATTTTACAACCCTAGATAGAGAAATCCTCTTCCTCCTATTCCTACTTCTGTTCCTCCTCCTCCTCCTCCTCATCATCATGATCATTATCACCATCACCATCATTTTTACTACTACCATTTTGCAGATGAGGAAACTGAAGTCAGAGAGGGAAAGTGACTTACCCAAGGTCACACAGCCAGTAAGGGGCCACTTCTTACCATTCCACAATGCAGTGTTGCTTCCAAAGAACAGTTTCAAGGAAATCATGAGCTTTTCATACCTGCTTACCAAATGTAGTCTTACACATTTGGCCCAGCATCTTACTAATGGCAATCTTTAATGATTATAACCTATAGATTACGAAATATGCTCCTTTTATTTCATAATCCACTCCCCTTATGTCTTGTGTTTTCCTGTGATATATTTTAGATCTGAGGAAGTTTATATTTCAAAACGATTCATTCTGCTCTGCCAACTGCAAGGCAAGATTGCAATAAATGTTCTCTTGTTGATCAAGAGTGTATATTTGTGAGCAGAAAGAAATACTATCTAAATTCGCATCATGTTTTGGGCCACCACTAACTAATATATTGACATGCCAATATACTGGATTATTTACATACAAAGTAAATGTCAAGCAAACAGAAAACTCTTTTGTCAGTTACCAGATATTTCTCTTACCTTCTGGGGCATGTCAGGTTGAAGCAAAATGCATCTGCTTCATCCTGTCATTACATTTGACCTAAACTTCATTTAAAAGACTAGAGAAATCATTGAAAGCTGTAGTACTGATTAGGCTTTAGAAAAGTATTTGCTTTGGAATTTGATTGTAAGTCTTGTCCAACATTCACTTGTCAGGAATCTAACAGCTCTAGAAATTTAACTTTAAAAGATACATTTAATTCAAATTTCATTTTTTAAAGATTTTATGGAAGTAGACAAACCAAAAGGGAAACAAATTGTCATACAATCCAATGATTCGAATGCGTACTTTGGACAGTTTATAAGTGATCTGGTCAGGACTCAACCAGGGTATTTATTGCTCAGTGGTAAAGAGCATGTTTAAAGGCCTGTTGACATCTGATATTAAAGCTTTCCTATGTTTATCTTTTTCCTCCCCTTTTGACAGGAGATTCCTTTAAAAACCTTTCTGGCTCTATGATGCTGAGTGACTGTGGACTGCAACCCTACTCAGCTTATGAGGAACCAGGTATTTCCAGCAAGATGTCCCCAACTCCCAATGATATCAAAAGGACTCAGACAGAGGCACTCCCCCAGCTAGTGGGTCTCTGACTCCAGCTCTCCAGTATGCTGGAGACTGCTGAGCTGGCCTTACTAATGTGTATGCTTAAAAGAACACCTCGCTCCTCCTGATCACTACTGGTTTCTATAGAAACAAGAAAGAATCTGTTCTTTTGCTAAAATTTTCTCCTAAAGCTTTTTCTAGCAATGTATAAAACATTTATTTTTTGCTATCAAAGTCCTTCATTTATAGCGTCATTTGACCAATTAAAGAACAATGGGCTGAGTAAAGATAAGAGTGAGCTTCATTTTAAGAAACCAAATCCTATGTACAGGAGGCAGCCATGGTCAGTTTATCTCTCTTGGGTCATTTTAGGACTCAAGACTCAAGTATTTTAGTGTAAATCCTTGAAACAATGGTATATCAGAGAGTTAAAAGAAATAACAAGGTATTGACTCCACCGTAAGCTGAGTTTTTCATTCTGGGATACTTCAGCAGTTACAGTATTTAAATGAAGTGTCTCATCAGTGTCACCATAAATAACCCTTGAAAACTCCAGAGCTCCAGACCACAGGAATGCGAGCTGCAGCCTTGATGCCTGTGTGGCTTTGCTTCAAGATAACGGCTAGGTTTCCCTGCTTTATTACTATGTTCCCTTCTCCAGGGACCACATTTGCTCAGGAATTGCTAAGGCTAGTAAATATTGTATCTGTCCTCTTGTAATCACCAAGCAAACAGAATTGCCCTCCATCACATAAAACCCCTAGAGCTGTTAGGTCATGAAAGAGGTATTGAACTAGGGGTGTGCTTAAATATTAAGAATGAGAATCACTGTAGCATAAATCAACACTAAATCCGCTGCATGGTTGTATGTGTTCAGTCTTCTATTAAATTTCAGTCATTTATTTTTCCATCAATAAATATATATTGACTTCCTGCTATTTGCCAGCCACAAGGTTAAGCACCGCAGGTAAGGTGGAGTACTGAGCATTACAAATACAGTCTCTGTCCAACTGGAGTTCATAGTCCAGCATGGCAGACAGGCATTACACAAATAATCACTGAACTCTAAGAGTAAGAAATACTATGAAGCAAAAAGTACCACAAGTGCCTAATAGAGAGTCTAATCCAGTCCAAGGGTGGTCAGAGACACCTTGTTGATTTGCTGGCACTTTGGTTATAAAGAGCTACAAAGGAGATTTTGGCTTAAGGTGAAATTAACTTGATAAGTGTGCATGTCTTGCAAAAATCACAGAATTGTCAAAGATCCCAAGAGGTGAACGGTTCAGCTATCTAGGATGAACAGTTTTCTCAACATGGAGATTCTTAAGGATAGAGACCTTGCACACCCCTTGATGGCTCATCTGGTGTTTCAACATCTTATTAATCTGAAAACACTTTCTTAGCTACTGAAGTACCAAAAGGACCACACCATAAAGTAATCCAGCCAGAAGGTGGTCTTCAGTTGGGGAACCTAAGGGGGATGCAACTGTCACTGAATTGCTGCATTTCATTGCTCTGATTCAAATAGAGAACTATTGTCTGAGAACTGACTCTCTACTCCAATGCAGGATTGCCAGAGCATATATATATATAATAAAACAAATAGATCTTTGGTATTCATGACCATCCAGTTTTGATATTCAAGCAACCATTTTAATACTTTCATTCTTTTGTTCCTTTAATTCTGAATCTAGACTTCTGGGAAGAAATCAGCATCTGATTCAACCAGAGACACTTAAAAACATAGGGAAAGAGAATGAGCTTGGAAGTCAGACACACTTGGGTTTCAACCCTGACTGTGACAACTGTTAGCTGACAGACTTGGGCAAAATAGATAATAATAATATTTCTGAGTCTTGGTTTTCTTATTTGCACCATACGATAATGATACCTCACAGAGTTGTTGCAAGTGTTAAATGAGATGATGCACATAAACTATTTGGCACAGTGCCTGGCAGAGAGTAAACAATTAGGAAATTAAAATTACTAAGGATATGTATACACATCTGACAATGTACTTCTCATTTATACTTCTAACTATACACGCACATATTTATATATACCTTTAACCTAACTCATAGATATGCATGTATATTTTATATATATATATATGAACTTTTAACAACCTTGTTGATCTTTATACCCCTAGTCTTGGGCTCTGAACCCAACCATAGCTGTTATGTAACAAAGGGTTGTTGAAAGGAAGGAAGAATAGAAATAAAGATATTCAAAGACACGTTAACTGGCTAGACAAGAGTTTCTACTTGTACTTTTCCAGTAACTTAGGACCCAATTCTTCAGTTGATTGTGTGGAATGTCAATGAAACAAAAATAATTGTGATCAAATGATGCTCTTAGGGCCATAAACCTATGAGCAAGCATATGGATTGCTACACATTATATTTGTACCCCTAAGGTTTGTTAAACACCTTAGGATGAAAAAAGCTAATAAGTATGAAATTTATTTTTATCATTATTAACTTAAAAATGGGAAAAGCTAAAGATAACAGAGAACTATGAAGCTAAAACTAACATACTCGAATGACAATGTATTTAAAACTCTTATGGCTAATGACCTTAAAATTTTTCTAGCTCTGTGTTGCAGGAATAAAATCCAAATCATCTCTAATAAAAATATTCATAAACTTTTGCTGCTGATGCTTTTGGGGGAATATTGAGTAAAGTGTTTGAAAGATGTCAGTAGTTTTTTTTAACAACCTAAGAAAAATAAAATACAGGGGAAACAGAGTTCTTATCATAAATATATTTTAAAAACTAGAGATTAATTACATACTATTCCTTCAAGAACAGATATATATTCAACCATTCAACTAATATAATATGGTATAATCTTTGGCTGCAGTCACAAAGCCAACTACTGCCAGTTTCCTAGGTTGAGACTAGCAGTCCTGTCACTAGCATAATTTTCTCCTACCATGCCCATGATTCCACTGATAACAAGCATCATACTCTTTCTTCTTAATTTCAATTCCATGTAATGTGTCAGAGCTTGCATTTATTTTGACCTGCTGTAAAAAGCAAAGAGCAGCCAATTCTACATGTCCTCCTTCTGATGCAGAGGAAGACAATAAGAAACAGGACCATGACATTAAAGCAATTCCACTTAAGCACTCAATAAACCTCTATTGAGTATTACTGTGTGGAATGTGCTACCTAGGAACTGTGGAAGATAAATACAATGTAGTTGTAGGAGGCATCCATAAAAGCTGCACATAATACAAAGCAGAGGAAACATGGAGGAAGGTATGAATTCAGCCTGGGGAAGTCCAGGAAGGCTGCTTTGGGGAGACTGCATCTGAGCTGAGCACTGAAGGATAATTAGGCTACTTGAAGTAGAGAAAGTGAGGGAGATATCTTCCTGGCCACTGGAAGAGCAAGACTAAAGGCACAGAAGAGTAAGCAATTAAGAATGGAAAATGGTGTAAAATGGCAGAGCAGAGGCTGGGGTGAAAAAAGGAAAGGCAGGTTTCGGCCATGTCAAAACGCCTCCAAAATGGCATGCAGAGTAACGTTGATTTTTTTTTTTTTTTTTCAAATCAAGAGGGAACTACCAAATGCTTTGGAGGAAAATAGTTTTTCTTCCAGACAGCTCACTGACTCTATTGCATCAAATGAATGAGGCAGCTCCTCTACAATTACATAGGCATTTTGTACTTCCCTTTCTTAATAATTTCTTTATTAGTTACTGAATATAGCCTAATGATAATATACCTGTCATCCTAAGTGTCTCAGACATGAACAACATATATATTTAAAACTTATCTGGGATTGAATTCAAAGGATCAACTGAGTTGAAATTTAGTCCTAAATACTAAGATACTACCAGACAGTTAGGTAAGTGCTGCTATAGATTTATTGAATATTTCAACAGTGAGGGAAGAAGTGATCTACAGCATGTCTGTTGTTTTGTTCTATCATATTTTTTCCCTTCAGGATATATTGAAATTTTCTTCCTAATCTGCAGAGATGCCCTTATTTTATTTTCCTTTTTGTGTCCTCTTCATTGTCATGATAAGCATTAGAAACAAAAGATAGTCAAGTTCTGGAGAGGGTCAGTTGTCTTTCCTCTCTTCCTTTCAACAAGCATTTATAAAACACCTGGCATGTGCTGGTCACTGACACTGACACTAGAAGTACCAGGAGAAATAAGATATGGTGTCTTATTTACCCTCAAGTAGCTCACAGTCTGGAAGATAACCCAGGCTGAAAATCAGTCCCCAGATGTTAGAAATCCTACACATGAATGTGTGAATCTGCTAGTAAAAGACAACCATTTGAGTACTGCAAATAGTTTTATTTTACTGTTGTCTCACCAGAGATAAAACTTACTTGGCAAAGATTAGTCCTTTGTGAAAAACCATCTCAATGGACTGTCCGAGTTATATAAGCATAAAGCATAGCAAATGGCACCACTATCCTCTTGGCCGCTCAACACAAAAATTGAGAAGGTATACTGGACTCCTCCCTTTCATTCACCTCCATCACCCCCAGCATGCACACACACACACAGGATCCATCAGTAACTTCTGTGGACTCCACCTCCAACCTCTCTCTCCTTCCATGGCCACTGCCTTGGTGCACACCACTGCAATGACAGCCTCCCAGCTGGCCTCCACTGCCTTCTTTGCCTTCCTACATTTTGTTCCCCACATAGCAGCCAATGTGCCCCTTTAAAATGTAAATCAGATCCCCCTGCCCATGCTTAAACTCCTCCAAACGCTTCCCATTGCAGGTAGAATGAAATTCCAATTGCTTATCTGGCCCTTTGAAGTACCCACAGGTCTGATCCTTGCCTACATCCCTAACCTCATCCTCTATAAAGTTACCATCCTTAACAAGGCTCGTTTTATTCTGTGAACAAGCCAGGCATGTCCCTGCCTCAGGGCCTTTTGTAATTGCACTGCTGTCTCCTTGAAATGCTTCCCCAAGATCCACACTTGACCAGCTTCCTCTCATCCTGCAGGCCTCGGCTCAAACAGGGCCTTCTCAGACAACCAAGGCTAAAGTCGGCCTCTTCCTCTTCTGTAACTGCATTACAGGAACCTGTTTTACTTTCTTCTGATGAGTTATTGCAATCTGAAACTGGATTGTGCCTTTCTTTGTGGCTTTTTTCATGTCTGCAGACCCTGACTGAAATGTAAACTCCATGCAACCAGGCATCAAGTTCCCCACTGAGCCCCCAGTACCTAGTTCAGGGCCTCCAGTTTGGCAGGCCCCTTTCAGGAGGTCAAGAAAGGAAAAGAGATAGGGGAAGGAATAAAGAGAGGAAGAGAGAGGAAGGGAGACATCTATTATTCTTGGGAATAACAATGAAATCACCTTCAGCCTGAACTCAGTTGTCTTCAGGTTTGTTTGGGGTTTTGTTTGGAATAGTTAAGCTGACCTATGTCTCTAGCCTTGGTTTCCAGAGGGCTTGGGGAAGCAAAGGAAGAAAGCATGGTTAGACAGATTGTTTTAATGACTGCTTACATGAGAAGACAAAACTGAGGCCCTTTGGTGGCTTGTTACCCGTAGCTATGAGTGAGGTTTAGAATCTTTTGGAGAGTTGCTTGCAGAAAACAAGGGGCCCAGGGGAGACACTAGAGGTTGTACTTTTCTGAAGAACTTGGGAAAGCTGAGCAGCAGTGTCTGTGATTATGAGTCTCCATTCTTTCCATGGTTTATATTCTGGTGTTGCATGACTTTTACTCACCATTCAGCCATGGCTTCTTAACACTAAATCAATACACAGCTCCCAGCACAGCACAGGCTGTGTCTGTGTGATGCCAAAGCGACTTGACAATTGATTAAATGTGGTTTAAAAAGAAATCAGTCAGACCAGTCATTTGACATCAGGTAGACAGAACAAAGCTGTCATTTGCTGGCATAACTGTTGTCTTAAATTCTAAAACAAGCAACAACGTTAGTGGGTGGGAACTCACCACTTTCATTAACATTTTCCCATATGTAAGTTCAATAATTTCATAGTGTCCTGCAACTAGGATTAGATTTCACAGACCGTGAATCCTAATCATAATAGCTCCACATGCAAGGGGCCACTTCAACATTGACTTTTACTTCTCTAATTTGAAGTGATCATGAATATTGTATAACTTGCCCCACTCTGGTTCTGTTTTTTTTTTCTTTTAGTAAAAAAGATTATTTCCCCTTGGTTGAACCATTTCAGCTAAAAGAAACTCACCACTGAATCACTGTCATAAAAATGGGTAAGAAAATGTAGCCCTCAAAAAAGTAAAGTAGGCTTCCAAACAGCTTGGCCACACAGACCATTTAGGTTAGATTACTAAGGGCTGCAGTGTATTCCACCGCATTCCTTCTAGGACCAAAGAAGTCAACCCCTAGAGATCCTGGCTCAGTAGGAGTGAGACGAGGTACAGGTAAGGATTGGCATCTGGAAAGAGAAGCCCACCCCACTCCTGATTCTGAGGCAGGGACCCGGATAAGGACCACACCCTAGAATAAAGCCAGATAGGCTTGATGAAGCATCAACTGAAAGCTGACACTCAGCAAAATATCATCTCTGTCCTAAGACTGACTAATTTGATGCTGAATTGCTCTTGAGTTTTCTATGTAATGAAAATGAGTTCAATGCTTGGATAGGTTCATGAAGATGACTTTATCATTACCCATTTAGCAAACAAGACTCCCTGCCTGATGGTTATAAGAGAAAATACCCTAGAGCCAGTTCTTTCCAGGAGACTTTGATTTCCCAAATTAAGGGTCAAAATTGACCCAAGGTTATATTTAGGAAAATTGTTGAAATGTAAATCCACTAATAAAATGCTAAAAGAAATCTCAAATGTTATGTTCATTTATTCATTTAACTCATTCATTCACTCATGTTTTGGTTTTTAACAATCAACAAATATGTTTATTATTACCTACAAAATGTCTGGCTGGCATTATGGATACAAAAAGCAAAAGACATAGACTTCATCCTCAAGGAAGCCATTGTCTTACAAAAAACGCAAATACTTCAAATACATAAAAAATATGGTCTACCATGGCAGAAACCATAAGGAGATCTGCAGAAAGTATTGATGGATGACCAGAGGTGAAATACATTCACACTGAAGTGGCGAGGGGTACAGAGAAAAATCAGGTAAAACCCCAGAGAGAAAGCATTAGAGCTGGACTTTGAGGAGAACAGGAGGTGCCCCCCCCAGAAAAAAACTGTCATCAAGATAAATGAAATTTTAATGCAATACTGTTAAAAATCGAAATGTCTTATTTTTTCCTTTTGCCTCAGGCTTCAATATGGCTCAGAATGGCACTGTTACAGATCCTGTCTTTGTTTAAAAATCAGATATTTCCATACAAATTTGTTTAAGTTCCTTATACATTCTGGATATTAGCTGTTTGTTAGATGAATAGATTGCAAAAATTTTCTCCCATTCTGTAGGTTGCCTGTTCACTCTGATGATAGTTTCTTTTGCTGTGCAGAAGCTCTTCAGTTTAATTAGATCCCATTTGTCAATTTTGGCTTTTGTTGCTGTTGCTTTTGGCGTTTTAGTCATCAAGTCTTTGCCCATGTCTATGTCCTGAATAGTATTGCCTAGGTTTTCTTCTAGGGTTTTTATGATTTTAGGTCTTACGTTTAAGTCTTTAATCCATCTTGAGTTAATTTTTGAATAAGGTGTAAGGAAGGGGTCCAGTTTCAGTTTTCTGCATATGGCTAGCCAGTTTTTCCAACAGGGAATCCTTTCCCCATTGCTTGTTTTTGTCAGGTTTGTCAAAGATCAGATGCTTGTAGATGTGTGGCATTATTTCTGAGGCCTCAGTTCTGTTCTGTTGGTCTATATATCTGTTTTGGTACCAGTACCATGCTGTTTTGGTTACTGTAGCCTTGTAGTATAGTTTGAAGAAAAAAACAAACAACCCCATCAAAAACTGGGTGAAGGATATGAACAGACACTTCTCAAAAAAAGACATTTTTGCAGCCAACAAACATATGAAAAAAAAGCTCACCATCACTGGTCATTAGAGAAATGCAAATAAAAACCACAATGAGATACCATCTCATACCAGTTAGAATGGCAATCATTAAAAAGTCAGGAAACAACAGATGCTGGAGAGGATGTGGAGAAATAGGAATGCTTTTACACTGTTGGTGGGAGTGTAAATTAGTTCAACCATTGTGGAAGACAGTGTGGCAATTCCTCAAGGATCTAGAACTAGAAATACCATTTGACCCAGCAATCCCATTACTAGGTATATACCCAAAGGATTATAAATCATTCTACTATAAAGACATATGCACATGTATGTTTACTGCACCATTATTCACAATAGCAAAGACTTGGAACCAACCCAAATGCCCATCAATGATAGACTGGATAAAGAAAATGTGGCACATATACATCATGGAATACTATGCAGCCATAAAAAAAAGGATGAGTTCATGTCCTTTGCAGGGACATGGATGACGCTGGAAACCATCATTCTCAGCAAACTAACACAGGAACAGAAAACCAAACACTGCATGTTCTCACTCATAAGTGGGTGTTGAACAATGAGAACACATGGACACAGGGAGGGGAACATCACACACCAGGGCCTGTCACGGGGTGAGGGGCTAGAGAAGGGATAGCATTAGGAGAAATACATAATGGAGATGACGAGTTGATGGGTGCAGCAAACCACCACCATGGCACATGTATACCTACGTAATAATCCTGTAACGTTCTCCACATGTATCCCAGAACTTAAAGTTTAAAAAAAAATCAGATTGTTTATTCATTGTGGATTTTTCTGCATGCGTCTTGATTTTTCACAAATACCACATTAAAATATTATTCATCTTGATTAGTGATATTTTTAAAATGTTGTGACCCTAGTAATGGCCCTTCCCCAAGCCAAGAAATCTGTGTGATGAGGGAGTAGAAAAGAAGTCCATTTTCCCAACTAGTCAACTAGAACAGGCCAACTCCAGTTGCCAAACTAGCTTCTCTTACAGGATTGAACCTGTCTTTTTGGAGTGGAAATCTCAATGGTCACTCCTATTACCACTATCTCACACACTAAGGGCACCAACAGCTGAGAATGGAAGACACAGTATTTGAGTGGCATGTTTCTCGCTCACAGCCACTACCTAGGATGCCTGGTGTCTGTTCATGGGTTTCCTCTAAGCGAATTCAGTACTTCATAAAATGGCCATAACCAGTCATCAGAAAATTGAATGGCATCCATTGCTATTTTTCTCTTTCTTACTAAATTAATGCATTTGGCACTGGTAAATCAGTTCCCTTTAGCTGAGTAAGGCTAAAGAGATGGTGCCAGTCTCTCCAAGAGAGGAAGATGAAGCCATTTGCAAGAATTCCAGGCTATAATTTTTACATTACAGTGTTATTACCAAAAGGTGGTTTTGTTTGGCGCTTCCTTTTCTGTCTCTTTTCTTATATGTTTGGAGACAGGCATGAGAGCATACGTACTCTCTATTATTTCTTCTTGACGTTCCTCTTGTTTAAAATGGGAAGATGGGTATTGGGAACCCAGCTCAGTGACAGAGCAGCTATATATATGTCTGTAAATGACAGAACTAGCTGCGAATAGAACAACACCCAAGCCTCTGGCTTCTGGCTTCAAAGGTGCAGCATGTTAAGAAGGGAAAACACTTGGGCCCACAGAACTGCATCTCACTCTTAGAGCTCATAACCTCATTGATTTTAGCCCGGATTTATGGCATCATTTGTTCCTGATAAGAGCCACTCGCCCGCACAACTCCACCGTGAAAAGGTAAAATATAACCTAGCAGGGCAAAATAGAAAAGGAAAAGACAAATAAAACCAAGTGAGGGCTGGAGAAATTCACTGCTTTTGCCTTGATTCTTTTGTTCATTTGATACAACTTGCTCTGTAATAAATGGCTGAACAGTCCTTCCTTTTGCCTTGATCAACCAAGAGAACAGCTAGAATGCTGGGAAGCAGTAATCTGTGGCTCTACTCAGGATGCATGTGTTTATCAAATGTATTGAAGCATCAGGTGTGGCAAAATGTGCAGACCCTGAGTTAGACTGGCCTGACTTTTCATCCCAGCTCAGCATTTTACAAGCTGTGTACCTTGGACAAGTTATTTAACCTCTCTGTGAATATAATTGGCACCATTTGAAAGGATGGGTCTCTAAGGTTCTCAAAAAGTCATAGGTAAACCAGTTAAAGCACGGGAAACACACTGCCTGACTAATGGTAAGTGCTCAATAAAATGCCAACTATTAGCTAGCATTAACAAATATTTTTGAGAATGTTTCCATGCATTTGTATAAAGATAATAGATTTAGGAAATGCCTTTATTATACGTGACAGGTTGTTGTAGTTTGAATGTCTCCCCCAAAGTTAGAAATTTAATCTCTAATGCAAGAGTGTTGAGAGGTGATATCTTCAAGAGTTCAGCACTCTCCTTGCTCCCACCTTGCTCTCTCTCTTTCTCTCTCTTTTTCATGCATTCTTTCTCTGAGGGATTTACCTTCAGCTACAGTTAGGAACCACGTTCTTCCACCTTCTGCTATGGCAGGACACAGCAAGAAGGCTCTGCCAGATGCAGCTCCTTGATCTTGGACATCCCAGTCTCCAGAACTGTAACAAATAAATCTCTGTTCTTTATAGATTACCCAGTCTCTGGTATTCTATTATAGCAACAGCAAAATAGGCCGTAAGTGATAACAATTTTTAGCTTCATTACAGTCCAATACTTAGAATTTAAAGAAATCTCCCTTTATTTACATGATGTATAACTATAAGACAATGAGACTCTTCATAAGAGAAACTACCAGACATTTAACATTTAAATAAATGCTGACTCTTAGAAGCAACACTATGAGGAAACTATACACTACCCTCAAGGAGACATGCATTCTTCAACCATGTTTAGAACTGCTCTGAGGGAATTACCTTCAGCTACAGTTATGAACCATGCATGAAAATTAGGCTCATTATCTTAGAGCCACAGCTCATTTTTTAGTAAAACCTATATTCAACCTTATCAGCCTCCTTACTCACCAAATCTTGCTCCAAATTGCTTTCTGGTTGTTTCAAAAAAATCACAATCACCACTACCATCAAGAAATGAAAATCTGGAGTTTATAATAAATGATATTAAAAAAGAACCAGCCACAGATTCCAAAGACCATTCACAAAGATGAAATTTCAAACTGTTACCTGCCTGGTCAGGTAGAACTGTTGGAATAAGATGGTGCCTCCCTAAGGGCCCAATTTGAATGGAGCCACACACTCAGATCAGATAGGTAAGTTCTGGACAGACATGGCAGTTAAATGTCAACCAGGTTTTACTTTATGGCCAATGCGATAAAGCCTTTCAAAGGGAAACACAAGCCATTTATAGCAAGTCAACTTCTTATCTAAGCATCATGACCATTTTCATTTTTTTCAAAATTAATCTCTGCCTATTTTGAGATTCTACAGAAAAACAGCAATCTTAAAGAGAATAGCCTCTCTGAAATTATATCTTTTTAAAGTTAGCCTAAAAGTAGAAAAGGCCATTCAATTTTGGTCTCACATTATGTGGAACTCAAATATTTTCTGGAGTAAAAAAATATGCAGCCAGAGGATAAACTTACTCCACGCAGGGTTAAAAACAAAAATGCTGATATAACCTTAAGTATGGTGGCGCCCGGAACCACGGCTATAATTAATCTAAATGTACTGTAATTACACTAAATGTTACTTCTGTAGAATACTTTCAAATCATGAGGCTTTTCTATGCTTAGATAACATGCAGTTTTTTTCTAATCATGGATGTAGGCATGATTTGCTAAAGGAACATTAGGTCTGGAAGCAATATCTTAATCAAATCAGAATTTCTTCTGTAAAACAAATCTTCGGCTTTTGAAGAATTAGCGGCATCTAATGCCTTGGGGTAGAGATGTGAAACTGAGCTAAAATCTCCACCGCTGGCTCTCTCCCTCTGCTCTCTGGCTTCCAGTCATTCGTAAGTACCATGTAGCCTCCTACACACACACCTACAGTTTCTGTGGCCATAAACCACCACAGCTACATCTAAATTACACCCTGAAAACTCCACATTTGAAATCAGTTGTAGGAAAATTCACCTCGTGTGGTTTACGTGTCTCTTTAGAACAGAAGGCTGGTTCCTTTTGGAAGGAACTCATTTAAACAAAACCTAATAGCAAGCATCCATAAATTAGAGGGTTATTGGTATGTGCATAATCAGATGCATAAAAACTGAATGAATATTCCAAGGCTGAAAATACAGACTCTTACATATGCAGAAAGATTTCTTATGGTGATTTTAGTTTTGTGAGAGATGACAAAAATGGGATGGGAAACCTATAGTCATTGGCTGTCATCTTTCTAGCTGTTCAGTTCTTTCTCCCCAGTGCTGTGAGCTTAATCAGTAACTGTCCCAAAAAAGAAATGCTGATATTGCTGAGGGACATGTCTTGACAAATCCAAGTCCAATGCTCAAACCAGGAAGCAGAACGTGTTACAGATCAAAAAGGTGGCGGAAACTGGCCTTATCAGGGCAGAACTTGGAATCACTCTATGTCAAAACTAAAATGTATCATTTAAATAGAGGTCAGATGAGGATTAATTCTTCCTCTTCTTCATGCACAGCAATGGTCAAGTACTCAGTGGGTGTATGATGAAAATACAGAGAAAGGAACGAATAATTAAACACAGGTTTCAACAGAGACCATAATCCTCTCGCAGCCCCTTCACTAATCCTTTGCAACAACAATGGGATCAGACATCTTCACTGAAACTCTTGTTAATGTACTCTGTTTTTAATTGGCTTGAGTTCAGTTCCACACAATATAGGCTAGTGAGCAGCTTACACAACATGTGAGTGTCAGGGGCCAGGAGACTGGAGAAAATGAACCTTGGGAGCCAGATGATCATGAAATGTGAAACACAGAAGCGATCCCAGAGGTCAAAGCCCATTCGTTTTGCAGGTTGGGCAACAGGCCCAGAGGAGTTAAGTGACTTGCCCAAGATCACAAAGCAAATGAATGGCAGAGACAGGGCTAAGACCCAGACATCTTAACTTCTAGGCCAGGGCCCCTTCTGTTGAATGGAAAGATGCCTCTTCTCTGCAGGGGTTGACCTGTGGGAGGAGCCTGGAATAGCCAGACTGACTCTGCCAGCGTCTTGGGCATCCATCCATTCTCCCATCCAGCCATTCAACACACATCTATTGAACATTCATTCTGTGCCAGACCCGGTTCTGGCCAACATATGCAGAGAGTCAAGAAGAATCTAAGTCTAAGCTACACTGCAAAAGCAGTTTGGGTGGAAGATTCAGGGATAGCATGCTCCCTAATCTTAAAGAGTCTGAAATCAGGATGGTAAGACATGGCAAATGCAAATTAAACTGGAGTGTCTTCCATTATCCCCACGAGAAACAATAGTCTATTCTAGTTTTATTAAAATACTTGAATAATCCCAAATATTGGAAAACTTATTGAAGATTTCCAAACTTTTTTCAGCAGGATTGAGACTGTGATGGGGGACCCGATCTAACTCCTTCAGTTTTATCACCCTCTGCTAACCTCCAGCCCTGTCTCCCTCCAGGCACAGGTAAACTTGATTTAAACCTCTCACTTTTCTTCAGCTGCACCATGCACCATGGCCTTTCTCATGTCTGCCTCTCCCCATGATAATAAATATTGTTAATTTAACTCCTCAACTGGATGTCAAACTTTAAGAGAATACAGACCACGCCTACCTCACTTTATTGCTGTATCCGCAGCAACTAGCCCAGCACCTGGCATATGGTTGATGTTTTAAAATATCTGTTGAATGAATGAGTGAGCAAATGAGCCAGTCATTGCAACAAATGTTTAATATTCTTTTTTGTTTAATATTTGACAGCTCTGGTAAATATGTGTATTATCCCTGTTTTGCAGATAATGGCAAAGAAGCCGAGAGAGATGAAGCAATTGGCTCAAGGTGACACAGCCTATAAATAGTAGAGCTGGCCATCTGACAGTTAACCCACACTCTATTCATTCTTAGACCCTCCTCTTTGCATCCTCAACTCCTAGCCATACTTCCATGTTGTACCTTCCTCTAACCTGAGGAAGCTTCCTCTAACCATAGGCTACCTCTAGTCGGAGGGCTATGTCATAGTTTTTAAAGGTGTCTGGAAGTGTCTTCCACTGACTTATAAGTTCTTCCAGGGATTACAATGCCTTTCTCTTGGGAGCACTCTGTAGATTGTCCTTCATTGGCAAATTCTCAGTAATATTAGTGGAAGGAAGTTAGGGTCTGGGGACACGGAAGAAATAAACAAACAGCAAAGAATGAGTTGAGGACACAGATAGAGGCTCAGCTACAGTTTCAGTCTTCAGATCAAGTTCTAGGAGTCTGCCTTCTGACCACAGGGATTCAGGATTCAAAGTCACTGGGAAGTGAAACCCAAGGACAGCTCTCTGTTCCAGAAGCCTGTACTCATTCACAGCCTGAGCACTTTATACCCCTTTCAGAGAAGGCCACAGTACATTTGTTATGTGTTTTCTACCACAATTTTTTTAATATTGGCATCTGAATGAAATGTGTTGTAACTATAAAATATGCTTGTAACAAAGACTTGTTACAAAGAAAATGTGAATTTTAATTATAATTTCTATGTTAATTATGTGTTGAAATGATGATGACTCAAATACACTGGATTGAAAATATAGTGTTAAAATTAATCTCACCTGTATCTTTTTACCTTTTCTAATGTGGCTGCAAAAAAACTTAAAATTGTAGATGTGGCTTGTATTATATTGCTATTGGACAGAGTTGGTCTGTGTCTTGTTTTGGGTAGCAGTTACCTGGATGTAAGCAAATGTCAAAACTCACTGAACTGAATACCCGTATATTTTATTGTGTATTAGTTACAGTTCAATTTAAAAAGTACATAAAGAAGAGTCTCCTCTCCTTTTAGCCTCAAATAATGTGTTCTGACACAGAGGGGAGAACCATCCTGAGCATTTTTTAAATCCCCACCATTTGTCAGATCTTTGGTGCAATTCCCTGTCTTACCACCAGGATCAAGCTACTATGGGTAAAACCACTCATTTCTTACTGTTTTGATTTTCTTCCTACCAAGCAACAAATACCTAGAATGGAGCTGGGGCCCTAACTTAGGCTGTTATCACTGCAGAGGCTTTAAGTAAAGGATGTCCCCGATTTCCATATCCAGAGGTAAACAGGCTTTGAATAAAACATGTTAGAGAAAAATCTAAAGCTCTAAGGTCTTCCATTCTCCATTCTCCCAGATTTGACTTTTTCATTCATGCAAAGGCATCTATCTGTGCTGTCAAGCCAAGACTTGTTTTGTAATATTAAACCTATTCCCTCTACTCAAAAAACAAAACAGCAAAGTGAGCAGACCAACAAGCATAGTGGTTCAGGTATACTGCTCAGAACACTTTGAGAACCAAAGGCAATTAAAGGCCATACCTCTGCTATGCTTGCCTGGCAAGGGAAACCCTGGCAAATGCACACATGTGTCTGATTCTCAGGGAAGGGGATACTGACCAATATCCTCCCCAGGTGGATAGAACCCCAGGTATGAAGTGCAGCTTTCCCCCCAGTCAGGTCCTTGGGTTCCAACATTCACCTGGCTTGTGAAGACCCTGCCTACTAGAGGACAAAATAGCCAGTTCAAGCTGTACATCAAGTCAGAGTTGACACACACTGGGCAAGGCTTTGGGGTTTTCATACCACGCTTCAACCCTGACCTTCCCCATCACTCTCTGTGAGTTAAAGGACATGTGGCTGTGTCAGGGGTTCCCAAGACCACCCTCAAGTATGTTTTGCCACAAGGACTCAAGTCACAGAAACTGCTATACTCATGGTTATGGTTTATTACAGTGAAAGAATACAGATTAAAATCAGCAAAGGAAAAAGGTACACATGGTGGGGTCCATGAGAGACCGAGTACAAGCTTCTAGTTTTCCTCTCCCAGGAGAGTAGTAAAGACAGTGCTTAATTCCCCAAGCAATGATGTGTGACAATATGTACAAAATATTTCCAACCAGGAAAGCTCTCCGGAGTATTGGTGTCCAGATTTTTATTGAGGACTAGTCAGTAGTCATGGAGCACCCACGTGCCTGATTTTAGTTACTCAGTCTCCAGCCCCTCCAGAGGTCAAACTGATACACAGTGGCCCAAGGACACTACCATAACCCACATTGTTAGCATAAACTATCTGGTGTGGCTCAACTCCCCAGGTATACAAAGACCCTCTCATCAGGCAGAATATTCCAAGGACCTAGAAGTTATCTCCCAGAAGCCCTTGATTGGCCCTGTTTTTGGAATATGCAGGGTTGGAACACCCCAAGCTTGCTAGGTTAACCCTTTACTGCACAGGTGCTCTCCAAAAGAGAGGAAGTCCTCTTCTTGAATGGGACCTTTGCAATACACAGGGTCTCCAGAACAAAACTTTTAAAGTTGTGATACCAAGGATCACAGGCAGAAAACAACTCAACTTTTGCCCAATCTCTTTTCCTTTCTTTCTTTCTTCTTTTTTTTTTTTTTTTTTTTTTTTTTTCACTTCCCAGCATCTGGAGGAGAGTTTAGAGTAGAGAAGGACCATAAGTTCTACTACTAATTTGGTAAGGGGTTCATTGCTTATTATTAAACATACATTAAGTGCTAATTGTGTGCCTAAACATATAAGAAATCTCTATGCCCATATTGTTTTATGTAGTCTATTTATTTTATGGGGAGGGAATTGGTGGCTTATCAAAATCATTCATCGCCTGACAACTCTGTAAACTTCAACCAGGCCATTATCCCACACTTTCATTCTTCTGAGAATGGAAAGAGAAGAGAGTAGTGTAGGGGAGCCATGTTGTTGCTTACCTTATTTGTAGTTATTTAAGCCTTAGTTTTATTTCTATATGGCTTGAAAGTTTCTTACTAAAGAAACACTTGTTTAATTTATATCAGTGGTTCTCAAACAGGGCTGATTTTTCCCCCTCCCAAGAGACATTAGGCAATGTCCAAAGACATTTTTGGTTGTCACACCTATGGAGGAATAGGTGTTTCTGTTATCTAGTGTGTATCTAGGTCAGGGAAACTCAGGACGATAATCAGGATGGCCCCTCACAACAAAGAGTTACTTGGCTGCAAATGTCAGTGGTGCCAAAATTAAGAAACCCTGATTCACATATACATGTTCTTTAAACTGTAACAATATAGAGAAGAATGAAAAATACATGAAAGCAGCCTGTAATCTTATCAAGCACTGATAATAACCATTAACGCAATACATTTTGGTATATTTCCTTCTAGTTTTTTTCCTGCACATACGTATTCGCAGATGCCCCTCGATAAACCCATCATAAGTTGAAAATATTGTAAGCTGAAAATGCATTTCAATTACTAATTTGAAGTATGGTTTCTACTGAATGCTTATCACTTTCAAACCACTGTAAGGTCAAAAAATCATAGCTTGATGGGGGAGCATTTGTATATGATTTTTTTATTTGATAAAATAGGGGTCATATTTGATACATGCTTGTGTCTTTTTTTACTTGCTATATGAGCATGTATAAAAGTAATGCAGGGCCACTGTAAAACAAAATTAGAAATTTCAAAAAAGTACAAAGAAGAAAAATTAATTATCATCCAGTATAGGAATGTACCAAATCTGATGCAATTCTCTGTTAAAAATTTGGACTGATTTTTCATTTCAGGTTTGCCTTAGGACTGAATCTGTATAAACAAATCTGTGGAAATCAGTTCTCCTCCCCCAAAAGGAGACTCAGGCATTTAAATAATTATCTTCTGCAATTAAATAATTATTCTCTGCAAATATACACCACAAAGGCCCTGATTCTTGAAATCACTTCTTTTGACAAAATTCACACAAAATTTCCTGAGTTAATATCCAATTTGTTCTCAAACTTTAACATTTTACCAACTCTGACACACCTCACTTGACTAAATCTGAATTCTGTCAACTCTCATTCTAACAAAAATCCAGTCTTAGAGATAAGAAGCAATCCACTGGGGGCTAAACAACAGCAAATCAATATTTCTAGCTAAAAGACAATCTCTGAGCCACAGAATTGTATGGGGCGGGAGAAATCTTTCTCCAGTTTTTAGAGGAAGCTATTTGAAAATGTATAATAAACTATTAGACATATTGTTTTTAATAACCAAGAGTGAAAGGTAGCAGCCTCCTTTTCTGATGCTGTCTAATCACAACTGTGAGTTCCAGAAATAGCAACTGGGGGAAAGAAGAGCAAAGAGTGGTCAAACATAATTTTGAAAAAAACTCACCACAAATCCCACAAAACCCCTATTGTCTTATGGTTTTCTTTATGCACTAATGAAGTCTGTGATTGTCATCATCCAGGTTTAGATACAAAATGCTCACTAATCCCTCTGTAAATCTCACATTGGCATATCTAGGCCTAGGCTCTAAAACGGAGAGAGGATTATGATGTATTTGGGGATCAGAGAGCCACAGAGACTCTCACAGGCTTGGAAAGATGAACCTATGAGGAAAGGTAAACGAGGCTATGATTACTCAGCCAGAAGAGACGGGACTGAGGGAAGAATTAATAACTTCCTTCAAATAGAGAGGGTATGATGACTAGTTGAGGAAACTCACTTACACTGTGCAAACTGAATAAGAAGAAACTGATTTCATCTGTAACATGAGAAAATCAGGTTAGCTATATCCGAAAATTTCCTAGTGTCTTGTCTGTCCATTCCTTCTTCCACGCATTCACTCTACAAATATGTGTTCAGAATTTGCTTTCTACCCAATTAAATGCATTTCCTTTAAGGCTCATTCGCTTTTTCAGTGAATATTTGTTGAGTCTCTGCTATTTCCAAGCAAGGAATGGGATGCGGAAATAGTTGACATAGCCCCACCTCAAGGTTGAAAAATTATTTTTCAGGACACTGTTAGAAGCAAACTACATTTTCACTCGCCTAGAATGGCCGATTCCTAGATTATGAGAACAAATCTGATGACCTTTAAAGTTCCTTTTAGCCTATGAATCTTTTTAACTAAAACAAAAACATCATAAAAAGTAAATATTTTATAGCAATGCAGAGTTATTTTCATGACGGATGATATTTCAATACTTTAAAAATGATTAAAGATGTATCTAGCCAGTATATATTACGGCACACATACCAAAAAGATTGTATTTTTATCTTCTTTTAATTTCATGAGCCAATTGTTCAGAATCCATTTTAACTATTAAAGGTATTCCCACCTTATGACCATGCCTACACTGGAAGACGAAAACAGATGTTTTAAAGTAAATGGGAGGCAGACCAGGTGCGGTGGCTGACGCCTGTAATCCCAGCACTTTGGGAGGCTGAGGTGGGTGGATCACTTGAGGTCAGGAGTTCGAGACCAGCCTAGCCAACATGGTGAAACCCTATCTCTAGTAAAAATACAAAAATTAGCCTGGTGTGGTGGCACATGCCTGTAATTCCAGCTACTCAGGAGGCTGAGGCAGGAGAATCGCTTGAACTCGGGAGGCGGAGGCTGCAGTGAGCCAAGATTGCACCACTGCACTCCAGCCTGAGCAACAGAGTAAAACTCTGTCTCAAAAAAATAATAAAATAAAATAAAATAAAAGGGAAGCAGCTTCTTTATTTGGCTGCATCCTTAGACATGGATGGACATTGCAGTTACAGAAAGCCCCAGTGTGCAAATAAGGAGAGCTCTATGCATGGCAAAACCTTGGGAAGTAGTGGTTGGGAGTCAAACATTTTTGCCAATATGCCCACCACAAAGTGTCTGTTGGTGAAACCCACTGGGTAGAGGGTATTGTCCAAGGGCCATAGGTAGGTAAAGCAGGAATTGATCTTACTCCTACTACCAAGGAGCACTTACATTAACAAACTGGCCAAAAGTGTGACACAGATACAGCACAAAGCTTGCTGAAATAATTTTAGGCAAAAACAATTGACTTGCAGTGGGAAGACAGCTGAGTCAAACTGGCCAGCCAATACTGCAATGTCCTGCTTAGCACATGGCCTCTGTTAAATTACAAGTCAATGTCGGATGATGAAAGAGCTTAGCGGTATGAGCAGTGGAGAGTGATAGGTGCAGGATGAAGGGGAAAAAGTGACCCTCTTCTTGGTACACACGTAGATAGACAGGTAGAACTAATAGAAAGGAAATACCTCCAGGTGAAATGGAGGTCTCCTAGGAAGGACTTTTTCTTTGTTCAAATGTTATTAAACCTGGACACTTGGGAAGTTGATATTTCTCTCTTTAGAGCTTCTGAATTGTACAGGGGCCTTTGGACAGACCTAGGTCACGGCAACTAAATTTGTTGTGCCATTGCTTAACCATCCCACATATTTATTGGAAGTATTTTGGAAGCTCTTCTCCTGAAATATATTCATAGGCCTTAATACAAGGAAAGAATAAAAGCACTCCCTTCCTCAGAGAAATTTTGAGGATGAAATGAGAGAAGGTATATACGATCCCTAGCATAGTAACTGGCCCACAGTGAATTAGTATGCCCTTACATTTTGGTACTGCCTGTCTGCAGCCAGCCAAATCCTTCTTACTTTCAGCTAGTTCATGGCTTTCTGCTACATTCTGTGTCATGCAACCAGACAAAGGGATCTGCAAACAGTTCCCTGGATATTCTTTTGTTTGTTTCCGTGTTTCTCCTGTATCTTCCACTTAGATTGTCCTTTCTCATCTCTTCATGTACAAAATGAACCTCAGAGCCACTCTGGACCCTTCACTGCAAGAAAGGTGTAGTACTTTCTTTGAATTCCCGTCATGTTCAAAATGAACCTCAGAGCCACTCTGGACCCTTCACTGCAAGAAAGGTGTAGTACTTTCTTTGAATTCCCGTCATGTTCAAAATGAACCTCAGAGCCACTCTGGACCCTTCACTGAAAGAAAGGAGTAGTACTTTCTTTGAATTCCCGTCATGTTCTCTGTGTAGCTCTCATACTTCTTAATTCTGTCTACTTTTTACGGTGTTTGTGGGTATGGATTATCTCTCTGACAAGACTGTAAATTCCTTGAGGGCAAGGTCAATATCTTGGCCTCATGTTCATTTCTCACAGCTCCTTGCATGTAGTAGCTGCTCAATTAAATACATGCATGATAACACACAAATAACTGAGACCCAATCAGTGCTAAAGTAGTAATATCTTTTTTGCATATGGCCACAGCAAATACAAAGCAGTATCATACATCTAAACCCAATACTACAAAAACACTAAATATACTGGCCTGCAGAGAAGGAAACACTGAGGCACAGGGCCTCAAGACTTGGTTTACTATTGATTACATAATTAGAACCATTGATGTACCCATCCAAGAGATTCTCTCCAGCATAGACAAAGAAGAAAATGAGCTGTGCTTATAATACTATTGAAGCAGTATTAATGAAACAATATTAATGAAATGTCAGGGAAATATCAATGTGGAAACAGAGCATGATACAATGATACACACTGGGTCTCAAATTCAGTTCTTACATTGTGTTCTTCATACATAATCCTCTACTACGATGGGGAAGTGATGCAGAAAGAAAGCATATGACAGTCACCAAAAAGTTACCAAGAAAAAGCAAACAAAGGAAATTTGTTGTCATCATCACAGTTGGTAGTGTGTGTGCATGCACACATGCATCTTTTGTGTCTCCTTTATATGAAAGAGTAAGTCATGAGGTCAGTTTATGCCCTTAGCCTATCAGATAAAAAGGTCCTCTACCTGCGCAGGTGTCAATCCCAAAGTCAGTGCCATAAAGAGTGGAAAATTATGCTGGCTCCCCTACCAGTTCCATTTCTCTTCAAATAAAAACTATGGAGTCTATGCAAAATTTAAAATCTGTAGGGAAGAAAAAGATTCAGCAAGATTTAGAGGGTATATTCAAATAAAAGGTTACTATATCCAACTCCATTTAGGACTATTAACAGTGCTGGATAATAGTGATGTCATTTTTTATGTACAGCAATATAATTAGCAGTGCTATTACTACTATCTTACCTTTGTGTCAGTCACTACATCTCTATAAACATAATTTACTAGGTAGAAAAAGTAAGCAGTTTTTAATATAAATCTATTCCATAGCATCATGTCAAGGTGTAAAATATTACAATATTAAGAAATTTATTGATGTTAATCAACACATTAATCACGCAGCACCTGCAGCACCTTAGAGCGTGTTAGAAACGCTCATTCTCAAGCCCCACCCCAGACCCAGTGAATCACAAATTTGGGGGGTGGGATCCAGCTGTCTGTAGTTTAACAAGCCCTCGAGGTGACTCTTTTTTTTTTAATTTATTTAAGCCCTCCAGGTAACTCTGATGTGGAGCAAAAGTTTGAAAACCAGTGGACTGGGGTGACTATATAACTGATCATCAAAATATGCACACTTTTGAGGGGGAAAAGGTACTATACTGATGATTACACCTGAAAAACAGACACTAAGTAGGACTACTCAAGACAAACCAGTGTGCATGATCACCCTACCTATGCTGTCTTATTATCGGATAACAACCTAAAAGGGATACAAAAGGCATCCAGCTTATTTTAAATTCCACTCTACAGTAGATCAAGCTAGTGAAGTTATTTGTCTGTGACAAAAAGGCTTTCCAACACAGCAGGCTGACACCCAAAATTTCCTCCTGTACCCAACTCTGAAGGACAATCAAAACTGTATTAATCAAAAGATAAACAAAAAGCACAGCAAAGTGAGACAGTGTACCTAGATACTTCTCAGTGTTTCATAAAGTGGCACAGTATAATGGAGACAGGCCTGAACTGTGAGTTCAAAAAGAGATCTGTGTTCTAACCCTGGTGCTGTCTCCAAAGGCATGATCTTGGGCAAGGCATTCCCCTCTCCAGCCTGTTCCTCAACCAGAAATGAAGGGGGTAGAAAACCCCTAGCTACAGCTAGAACAATTTCAGCAACAAAATAAATAACAACAGTATTTGATTATAACTCATAGAATAAAATAAATATCCATGATTCCCAACTTATAAAAAAACAAATTGAATAATGCATAAATAGAAGAAGGGATTCTTCACAGAAGAAATTAGTAAAGGTTGATGGAAGGAGGGAAATAGAAAATCATCATTAGAACACCATAGTAATAATTCCTGCAGGCAACTTTCATCAATGGATGCTAAAATTAGTGGGTGAAGCTCTAAGAAACAATGGGATATTTGCATAGCCTCACAGCATCTCCTCTCAAATTTACTCATGACTGTGGTGATCGTAACACAGTACCAACAGATCCTGCCAGTGACTGGACTGGCTGTTCATGTGGACAGAGCTCAGTGGACTCATAAGAGGCCCATGTCTTTCTCATGAAAGGCTCATGAGCCTGATGGCATGACAGTTGAGAAAGCCCCACAGTAAGAAAGAAAAAGATGACAGCTTGTGAATACAGAATTGCCCTACATAACAAGGGAGAAAATATTAATCTCATTAACAATCAACATGTAGGAAAATCTGCCCATTATAAGGCTGCTTTACAGCAGCCCCAATCCCTAAGACAGAGGCAAACTGAGACACATGTGTGCACACTCACACATTGGGAGGATTCTCAGTTGGCCCTAGTGGAAAAGTTGAAGAAATCAGAGACAGAGAGAGAGAGAGAGAGTGAAAGCAGGGTGGGGATGGGGATATGTAAACCTGCTTGTTTCCTTGGGGCAGCAAATCATTTCCCAGCTGGGATTCTTTTAAGAAACAGTCATGGGTATATAGGAAAGATGTCTTGTGGGTAATTCAAATGGCAAATCCCAAAATTATTTCAACTTGGAAAGGACTGGATTATATTTAAGCGGTGAGTATTTTGTTTGGGAAAAATGTAACCATATAATGAATTCGAGCAGGCTATGAAATAAAACACAAGGCCTGAGGCAAATGGGTGGCCCTGGGAGGTTCCTTATCTTGCTGCCTGGCAAGGTCCCCGCTTAGTGACCATTCACTCCAAGTTCGAAAGTGACCACCTCACCTCACATTGTGGCAAATCACCAGCTTAAACTGAGTTGACCTTTTCGATGTTTCTTGTCTTCCCAGCTTTCTCCCAGGGGAGGTAATTAGCTGTTGAGGCTTAAAAGACTTCTGCCTTCACAGAACATGGAGGGACAAAAATAAATAAGTGATATGGATGGTAGGAGCAGAAGAGTTGTTCACTTACTTTAACCCTGTTAATAAAAAGTTGAAAGTAAGACGTGCAGATCATTAAACAAAAGTATCTAAACTTAAAACACTGTTACAGACCAATGTTATTTTTCATAATACTGCCAAATATCAATTCTTGCATGTTTATCAAGAGATGCTGTAAGCCACTACAAAAAATATACTCAAATAATTAGGG
The DNA here is from genome assembly GCF_000001405.40 of Homo sapiens. Lineage (NCBI taxonomy): Eukaryota > Metazoa > Chordata > Mammalia > Primates > Hominidae > Homo > Homo sapiens. The sequence continues at coordinate 148,543,695 of NC_000023.11, read as the reverse complement.
TTGTTAAACAACAATAATAAAATCAATCCTCTAGAGATGTTCCCCGAGGAACTAGGCAATTACATCTCCAGATTTTCTCTCTGTGCTTTCTACTACAGCATGCTGTCATGCGGAAGGCTTTGAAATCACACAAACTAGGGTTCAAACCCCAGCCTTGACAATTACCCTGTGGCCTTGGGCAAGTCACTTTGTTTTTCAGCTTAGAATTCCTTGTCTATAAGATTAGGAAGACAGTGCTTATCTCCCAGGGTAGTTGTGAAGGTTGAACAAGCAGAAATATAGGATGCCAGGCACATTCAGTTACTGGCACAGGGTAGGGGGTCCAATCAAGATCAGTTCCCTTCTTCTTTTGTAAAAGTAAGGCAAAAGAACACAATCTTTAGTCATTGCACATAAGATTCACATTTCAATGAACCAAGCCTATCAGCAGGGCTCTTTAGTCTTTATTGTGCATATGCATTCCCTGGGGATCTTTTGACAATGCAGACTCAGATTCAGGAAGTTTGGCTGGCACCTGACATTGGGCATTTCCAACAAGTTATACCAAGAGAGGTCGATGCTGCTGTTCCATGGACCCCCTTTTGAATACCAGGGTCTACAATTTAGGAGGCCCGGATCCAGTCCTGGCTCTGCCCTCTAGAGGATGGTAAGTCATCAGGAAGGTTTCATGCAACCATTTGCTAACACCAACTCACACAGAAGCAGTAAGGCCAACTGGTTTCAGAAACAGATTTCATTACAGCTCTCCCCCTGGTGATCAACTCTATGGTTTGGAGGGAAAAGTTCCATTTCCAGGTGTGGACTTACTTGTGATGAAGACGGGGATGACCCAAAAGATAGACTGCTCAATGAATTCTTAAGCCACAGTCCCCTTCCTTTTAATCCATTCTGTTTAACAATACATACCGAGTTTCTCCTCGCTCTAGGCTCTAGCCCACCTAGAGGAACTCATAAATATATGAGGAGAAATAATCTTTGTTTCAGTTCCTATCCCACTTCCTTCCTTGCTGTGACTGCCTTCCCCTGACAGCCCTTCAGCCTGTGGGCACCTGTCTGCATGGATGGCTGCTAAGCAAAGTGGTCTGCCCAGCAGCCAGCCAAGCCTCAGTTCTTCATGCTCCCTTTTAGGAGGTCTCAAGAATATCCTAGTATAGAAGATCAAAATGTGTATCCTTTACCCATTTGGACCTTGCAATAGGTAGCAACAATTATATGTGCAACATATCTACACAAATAGGTTAGAAGAGGCATCAATTTGGGGATGTGCTAAGGCACTGGTTCTGGGTCCCAAATTTTCTTAGCATGGCAAGGATTGAGCATAGAATTGACCTCACTATCCCTTTCAAGAAAAAACTGTCCTAACTTCTGCTTGGGAAATGTTGGTTCGCTAAGGGCTGTAGAGCCAAAGCTTGTGTCTTTAAGAACACTCTGCTTTGCCAAGTAGTAGACATCACCCAACTTGACTGAGCTAAACGTTTTATAAGTAAACTGAAACCACCCACAGGGTAGTATATCACATATATGACTTGCACAGAGCACACCGCCATTGTTTTTAAAAGATGCAAATCCCTGATTAGCTAAATAAATATTTTTAAACATTTAATACAGAATAAACACAAGTTATTCATTTTCAAAAGATTTGTGCTCACCAGAGGCTTTCTTTTTTCCAGCAGAGACTATACATGGGAAAAGCATGATTCCTAATACAAAGGTTCAGTGAGAATTTAAGGGTGAAACCCACTTCTGCCTATCTAGTGGCTGGCTGATCTTCATCCCTCAGGTTATTTTAGCCTCACTAAGCCTCAGTTCACTCATCTGTATAACAGAGGTACATAGTGCCTGCCCTGGGTATCAACCAAACATAAAAGAGCATGGTGAAATCTAAAGTACTCTACAAATGGAAGCTCTTCTGTTATGCATAGAACAGAAAGACATCTGCTGTAATGTGGTTTGTTTAAAATTAACCTGATGTGGTCCAGCAATGAGCACAGACACTGCCATAATGTTAATAATATGATACACTGAACTGATTAAAATTTCAACTATGCTATCCACCCCCATCTCCTTGGAAAGTTAATGAATTAATGAATCTTTAAAGGACAGTCAGGGAGGCCTTAAAAAGAAGATGCCTTTTTGAGTAAGGAGAGAAAGTGGTGGATTACAACTTAATGGCTTCAGAATAGTGGTAATTTCCCTATTTTCTTCACTTGCCTTAGCTCAGCTAATGGCTTCATTAATGGCCACACTCCCCAGCGAATAATAGAGGCCCTTGTCACATCCATCATAGTCACATCACAATAAAACCAGTTTAATACAATCCAGCTCCCTGTCTCATGCCAGTCAGCACGAGGAATCAGAATTAGGCGAACAAAACATACAAAAACTTGTATGTTAAATTCCTTTTAACAATAAGCACGCAACAGGCTACTGGTAATGAAACGTTAACTGTATTGTGCATCCCATGTTGAATAGATAACTATAGCAACAATCACAAAGCTGTGAGGATGAGCTGCTCTTTATTACAAGTTGAGCCACAGTGCCTTTTTATTTCCTTCATTCTAGTTTGATCAAAGTAGCATATTTTCTCACAATTAGCACAATCATGTCAAATCTGCAATGTCATATCATAATCTAAAATGTCACCTCATAAAATCAGGCTGTTTGAATGACTGAGTTGTTTCTTTTCAAAGGCATCTGGCGTAGCTGAAAGATCTCTAATTTTTAGACATTTATTTTTTCTCGCGTCTTGGCTATGAAGAAGGAAACTAGCAGTGAGAGGGTAGTTTTGCTTTCCTGAAGGATGTCCATGATTTTTACTAACGAAAGACACCAACTGTGGCTGCTTCACAGCTTTATACTGGATGTAACAGGATTCTGGAAGCCTCAGAATTATCTCATTGCGTGAGTTTTGCACATTCTCCTCATGCACAAGCTACTTCTGGAAGTCAGGATTTTTAGGAGCTGCAATCATTTATTTGAGGCCACTAGGGAACCAGTAAGTGTCCTGAAGTAATAACTAACTGAATGGGACCCTAGTGGCCTGAGACCAACTGGGAGAGCAGCTCCCAAAAATGCTTCATTTACTCCCAGGAAGTGGTGTCTGCTTAGGGGGAAGCTCAGTTGATGGGTTGATGGGAATGACACTAAGGCACAATCCCTGTTGTGGGAAGTGTAAATTTAGCATCTGCGACTATACTGGCTTTTTATATTATATTTTTTTCCTATTTTTAATGCATTTTAATGGGATTCCATTTTTAGATTCTGAGAACATGAAAAAAAAAAAAAAAAGGTCACTTTTTAGCTGGTCAGCCACAACCTTTGTTCCTGCTGATATGGTTATCTTTCCCCCTCTGGCCTGCAGCTCATTTCAGATAACAATTTGTCCCTTTAATTTTAAGAATGCAGAAGGTGTTGTGCTTTTGCAGTGCTTCTCTAATCCCTCCTTCTGGCAATGTAAATATGAACCAGCTGGACCTGGTAAGGTTTTAGGTATTTCATTTTAGTCCTCATCTTGAAATACTGTTTATACTCTTTATTAGCAAATGTAATATAGAAACCCCTTTGCCATTCTCTTGAGTAACCCTAGATTAATGGAAGTGCACATACTTTCAGCAGATGCCTTACTGTTATTTCTAATTAAAGCAAGCTGATGTTTAGGGCTAAGAGAAAAGACAAGAAATGACATCTTGTATCTAGCAACTTAAATCGTGTCTTTCTAAAGCAGAGATACAGACATACTCTAAGACCAAAACTTTCAAAGTGACAGGTAGCATTTACCCTTAATTAATGGGAATCTAATGGCACTCCTCTTTGTAATTGTGAGGGTCAAGGTGAACACTACTGACCTGAAAATCCCTGTGTCCAAACTGCAGCCTAAGTAGGGCTTAGTAGGGCTTACTAAATCTAGATTTCAATGGTGTGCTTTTGGTGATGATGATGGAACTGACTAAAAACCCCCATTAAAGAATGTTAACACTTGAACAAATAAGACAGGAAGGAGCTAGTTCAATGTTTTATTTTTTTAAAAAAAAAAGATAGTTCAATCTTAGAGAATGTTGGGTGGGGAAAGGGAAGAGGGGAGAGGACAACAGAAAGAGGAGAGAATAGCAAGAGAAAGAGAAATGAGGGTGTACAATGTTGTGGATCTATGTTGCTTCCAGTTCTTGTTGATTCTCATAAAAATAATAAATAGCTACCATGTGCTGAACACCTAATCAATGTCAGACATTATTATTTGCCTGTATAATGAGTATCAGTCTCCTCATTTTACAGATGAGGAAACCGAGAGGCACTATGATCTAACGAAAATAGCATGGCTGAGAAATCTAACGTAGCCAGCTTCCAATCACAATTCAAGTCTCTGTTTAGCTGTATGATGCTAAACAAGTTAGTAAACTTCTCTAATATCATCCATAAAATGGGGAGGGTAATTCCTACCTTCAGGATGGTTAAGAGAGTTACAAGATAAAAAAGATATTAAAGCACAAGGTACATAATAAGTGCTTAATGAATTAGATTACTTTGTCTTCCTGTAACTCTCATAGGGCATACTACATTTAAAGCTTGCCCAAAATGTAAGAAAAATTACAACTCTATAACCCATCACATGCTTAATGAAAAAAAATTTTTTTTAATTTCTGGTTAGCAGAGCCTGTCTGCTTATCTGGGTCTAGCCATAAATACTCTGCTCAGCAGAGGACAAGTCAAAGAAGGATCAGCAAGGAACATAACTGACAGTAGGGTAGACAGTTTAAATATCAAATTAATGTCTTCAGAGTGGAAACTATCTTGGGTAGCTATTAAGAGAAACAGTGTAGTATAAAAGTCACGGGGCTTCAAAATCAGCCACACCTAGGTTCAGATCTGGAATCTGTCATTTACTTAGCTGTCTGACTTGAGTAATCTCTCTGAGCCCTCAGTTTTCTCATCTGTAAAACGGGGATTGTCTTCACTTTAATAAGGTTAGTGTAATGACTAAATAAGACAAGACATGCAAAGCACTTGGCACAAGACCTTGCACATAGTAAGGATTTAAGAAACAGTAGCTATTTGTGATCAAAGGCTTATTTTCTTTTTAAATACTGTTTTTGATAAATCAAAATTTTCAGGCAAATAAATCAATAGGCTTTGCTTAAACTTTCAGGTAAATTTAGTCAGTGCTTCGCCAGATATTCTGAGGCATAATCTGTATTTCTACAAAATTCCTGAACGATTTCTGTGTACATTAAAGTTTTGAAAGCATGGACCTCGTAAGTTGACCTTCAGCCTCATACTTCAAGTGCGGTCCAGGGACCGGCAGCATGGCCTTCACCTAGAAGCTTGTCAGAAAGGGAGCTTCTCAAGTCCCACGCCAGACACACTGAAGCAGAGACTCTAGGGTGAGGCCCAGCAATCTGCACGCTTCTACCAGTCCAGTGACTCTAATGCTCACCTATACCTGAGAACAACTGTATTAGGCACAATGCCTTACACACAGGGAAACATCCAATACATGTCCTCATAATTTTGCTTGATTTTATTCCTTAATAAACAGTTACAAGATTAGAAACAGTACATTTTCTTGAATTCAGTCAAATACCCGTCAGTGTTTCTGAATAAGAGGTTTTGATACTACGTAGAAGGTTGGTCTAATGACACTGAAGTCTGCCCTTGAGGGGAGGGGAAGGATGGCCCACGTCTGAGTCTATTTCTTAACTTGCTTCATTACAAAGTACCTACACCCCCGCACGTCCTGTGCGGCACCACAAGGACACAGCTATCAGGGTTTGGCTCGCAGAAAACGCCTCATTTCCTACCATTAGATGGGAGAATCGTTTAATCTTGATGCGACTGATGGGGCCATTTCTGCTTCTCCCTAACCCACTGCCTTTTACCTTCTGCTATCAGCGCTTCATTTCAGGAGGACAGAACAAAGGGGCAGCATCATTATCCTGACCTCCCAAAACGAAGCAGCTCTATGGGAAGCCCTGAGCTAAGCAGCAGGGAGGAAAAGTAACACATGCAGCCAGGGGATTGACAGTGAATGGATCTCGGTAAAAGGTCCTGGAAATAAACAAAAACATACACTGCAAACTATATGCCCTAGAGCATAACGGCAGGATCCGAGAGGCTCCAATTATATAAGCATTAGCTAGAAAGAAAAAAAAAAAACTTAAAAAATCAAAATTTAGAAACAAATTTCTCCTCCTTTCCTTTCCATTCCCACAGCTCCCATCACAGAGCAGGCTCTCTCATCAACTTATACCTGGACCACGTAAATCATCTTGGCAAAACTCATCTTTGAATTCAGGGTAACTTGGTGCCCAGCACATAGAAGGTGTTTAGTAAATGTTTGTACCTATTAATATGTACCTCTCTCCTAAGCAACATCTTTCACCAACCCTTTCCCCACCTCTACGACAATCAGATTTGTTGTATCCATCTCTGTCTGTCTAAAACATCTCAACATCTAACCAGTCTGTAGCTTTTCCAAACCTCTTGTATGCTCCTGGGGAGGGTCCCCAAAGGCAGCTGGGAAATATTTTTAAGCAAGAAAGACACACATTCCTTTGCTATTTAAATGGCACCAAACACAGAATTCCTGAAGTTTAAGTCATCTCTGAATAGGCATCTTACCATGCATTAGCTGCCCAAACTTGCCTTTTCTGAGCAAAGTTTAGAATTTAATTAAAATTTTCTTTAATTAAAATGCAAATATTCTAAGACTTTACCAATAAATTGTTTACAACAGACTGAGTAAAAGCCCTCAATGGCTTTGGGGAAAAATAGTTTCAGTTGCAAGCTATAGATTCAGATTTCACTGTTCACTGAAATGGGAAAAGATTTTCTAAAAAAAAACCTATTGGCTTATTAATCTATTTTAAGCAAAAATGCAGATATCACAATGGGTGTCTAGGAGTCACATACAGAGACCAAAATTCCCAAAGTTCACTACTGCTAATTAAATAATTAAGCCACTTCAATGTCTCCTCTATGGGTTTTGAAATAACCTTACCGGACTTAGGATAGCAACGTAAAACTAAAAATCAAAGCTTGATAATAGTTAATGTTTTCTATGAAGATATTTATTATTCTCTTTATTAAAGTTTCAACACAGGTAGTTGACAGTTATCTCAATTTGGGATAAAATGATTACTAGATATCTGCATAGGTTTCTTCATAAACAAGTACTTAGAAAAGTTATAATGAGTTTCTGTCTCTATTAGCTTCATAGAAAGTTTGGGCCTCTATATCGCAGTCATTTCAATTGGGCAGCTATCAATGGCTTGTCAGCAATGCTGAGGGGACTGTGCTGGGAACTGGGGCAAGGGACACTGAATCCAACCAGGCACCCCCAGCCCTCCAGGCTTCCCAATCTTGCAGGACCCACAACCAGGCACAAGATTGCCTGCTGATGGAAGGCAGATAGTGTTGAGTCTGGGGAAGATGAATAAAGTGATATGGTTTAGGGTCTAAATGGATGGTCGAATTCTTTTTTTTTTTTTTGAGACAGAGTCTTGCTCTTGTCACCAGGCTGGAGTGTAGTGGTACAATCTTTGGCCCACTGCAACCTCCACCTCCTGGGTTCAAGCGATTCTCTTGCCTCAGCCTCCCGAGTAGCAGGGGCGCACCACCATGCCCGGCTAATTTTTGTATTTTTAGTAGATACGGGGTTTCACCATGTTGGCCAGATGGTCTCAATCTCTTGACCTGGTGATCCGCCTGCCTTGGTCTCCCAAAGTGCGAATTCTTAAAGAAAAAATGTGGGAATGGGAATGAGGGGGGCACTCTAGGCAGAAGGAACAGCCTGAAGCAGAAGCCTAGCAATTATTCAGCACCCTGGCTGCACATCGGCATTGCCTAGAGGAGCTTTGTACAACATGCCAATGCTGAGTCACACCATCATAAAATCTGTTGCCACTAGCTACGATGAAGCCAGGGCAGAGAACCACCATGACAGTTAGGGGGCTGCAGAGCAGGATAGTGATTGGGGTAACTAAGGCTATAGCCATGGGGAAAGTGAGTAGGCCCACCAATCTTCTATACACTACATATTTGGGAAGTAAGAATTAACAAATGTTAATAAAAATAAATAAAGAAAAATAATAAAAAATATTTCTTGTTACAATGCCCGGCACAGGGCCTGAATGCCGCCTTGAGTAGAGACTTCAGAAATGGGTAAATTTAGGAAACTCTGCCTTTCTGGAAGTCTTTCTGTCCCCTGGCAGGAAGTAAGGTGGAGGTACTGGTGGGAGGTATAGATGTGTGAGTAGGGTGGACAGATTTAGTCAATGAAAACACAGGACGCCCAGTTAAATTTGAATTTCAGACACATAGTGAATGATTAGCTAATATAAGTATGCCTCATGCAATATTTGGGCCATACTAATACCAAAAAAAACTGTTTTGTAAGGAATGAAAAGAATAAAGGTAGATCGCATTATAGAGGGCTTCTAAATGTCAGCCTCAAGAGTTTGGATTTAATTTTTAATAATCATAATAATCACATCATAATAACCACAATGATGGTGGTAGCAGCTCTCATATTGAGTGACTATTATTCGCCAAGTCCTTGTGTAAATTACCTCACAGTCAAGTACCCTATGACTTAGGTGCTATGATTTCCTCCATTTTCCAAATGATGAAATTGAGGCATGGAGAATTTAAGTAACTTTACCCAGGCCACATGATGAGTAAGGAGAAGAGTTAGCATTCAAATCCATGTCTCTCTGACCACAAAGCCACACCTTTTATCATTTCCTTATACGACAGCTCAGGGTGTCATTTGAGGAGCCATCCTATTCTATTGAGCAAGCAGGTAACAAGATTGGATATGTGATTTAGAAATGAAACAAAACTACATGGACAAATGTGGGATACTCAGGACAATTCAATAAAGTTTTGAGGATCAAAACTTCTGGAAGGAAGATAATGAATACAAAAAGAAATAAAGCTTAGTCAGACATCTTCTATTACTTGCAAAATAAGAATAGTGGTTTTTCTTTCTGTCATCATTAATACAATGTATCCCAGTAGTAACATCTAACCTTTATTAAGAGTCTTTTTTTGTGCCAGACATTACTTTATTCAACCTTTACAACAACCTTATGAGGTGGATAGTGTTATTTTCACGATTTCACAGCTGTGGGAATTGGGGCCTACAAAACTATGTGACATGTCCATGGTTGCATAGCTCAACATGGATAGTTCTGGAATTCAAATGCAGACTATGCAGTGCCACAGTTTGAGCCAAAATAAACATGTGATGCCAACTTTTAAATGCCTTGCTCTATTAACTAAGTCTGAATTCTTGTCATTTTTACATCCTTTTCATATTCCAAAGAACTTTCACCTATGTGTATCATTTGATCTTCATGGTAGTCACAGATGAGGACACTCAGGCACAGAGTTTGACAGCTTGCCGAGAGCCATGAAGCTGGTCCTAGGCAGGGGTCTTCAGACTTGTGGCTAAGTGCTGGGCCACTGTTGCATCCAATCACCCTATCTGAGAAAAGCAGCAAGGCTTTCACTCACATCCCTATGTACAGCTTCCATTGTTTTGCTATAGGTAGAATTCTATTTGAATCATTTGGTTCTAAGTGACCTAGTGAGTTAGAGTGAATTAGATTTTCCAAGCACAGACCTTGCTTTAAAACTTCATTTTTCCTCAATAGATTTGCCAGGGAAATAGGATGTCTGGCAAAAGTGGCAATGGGAATTACATTGAAGTATGGTTTTTAAAAGAAAACGAGAGGACTTAGTGAGCTGTATTTGAAATACAGTCCATTAAGAGATTTAACATTTATTATTAAGATATTAAGTAATAAATATTGAATTTAATGATTCACTCTTCAAAATTTTCAGAATGCTGATATATTTTAAGTCAAAGCAAATGAAAATTGAGTTGGAGACTATGAAAGACAAATTTATGAAGCCAGTAAAACCAATTTCTAGATTTGCCTTATTAAAGTTCTTATTAGAATAATGGCATAAATATGACCCTGGCAGAAATTTCATAACATATTCTCTTTATTTTGGTTCAATTTTCAGGAAGATCACTTGTCATCAATCTAGATTCTCCAAATCCACCGCCGATTAGAGAAACTAACATAAAACAAATTATCGGGCCAGGTGCAGTGGCTCATGCCTGTAATCCCAGCACTTTGGGAGGCCGATGCAGGCGGATCACGAGGTCAGGAGATCAAGACCATCCTGGCTAACACGGTGCAACCCCATCTCTACTAAAAATACAAAAAATTAGCCGGGCTTGGTGGTGGGTGCCTGTAGTCCCAGCTACTCGGGAGGCTGAGGCAGGAGAATGTCGTGAACCCGGGAGTCACAGCTTGCATTAAGCCAAGGTCGCACCACTGCACTCCAGCCTGGGCAACAGAGCAAGACTCCGTCTCAAAAAAAAAAATAATAATCAAAGGTTAACACAATCTACTAATCACCTGGATACCATATTTCAACCTTAAAGCCATTACTATATTTGTGAATCATAATTTATGCACGCTTTAACACAACACTTTTTGGTGAAAGGAAAGATTTGTTTTCCTTTCATAATTATTGCATCAATGTGCATAACCTTTACATTTGCAAAAGCCACTCTGAATCCCAGAGACAGAAGATAATTGACCTTGAGTTCTGTTCAGTGGTGATAGAGCGTGACTGCAAATTCCTGGTTTCCACATAATGGATTGAGATGATCTCTTCCAGAATTAGCCTTCTATGAAACATCACTAAAAATTGGCTAAGCTGCTCCCAAGATGCCAACACTTCATAACTTAGCTAATTAATGTTTGATAAAGTATGAAGACACTGTTTGACCGACTGTTAAATACATACACACACACACACACATACACACACATCCAGGCTCACAATTTGGTTACAATATTTGTTTATGTCTAAGTAATTTGGATAGAATCATTGTGCACCATGGCAAAAGTATACACAATTAGTTTGAACAAATCAGGGCTGAATTTCTCATCCATATACTGTGGAAGCAGCTCAAATTATAATTACTTCCCAATATCCTGCTTAAAACACTGAATGTGATGCCTTGACTTCTTGCTAAATGCTACTTCTTTCAATTGTTCTTTAACTACATCTCTCCAAGTGATTTCCTTTATCTTATTTGTCTGTTTCTAAAATAACTTTCTTAAAGAATGCCTATTTTCATGGACAGAAACTGTTTTTTCTGAATGAACTGTCATAAAGTCATTCCTTGACCATTCTTCCTGTGTTTGTGTGTTTTGGTTGTGGTGCATATGGTTAAATAAATCTTACTGAAATGCACAATAGTGTCATCTACAACCAATTACCATCAGCAATTGCTTTGTAAACACTCAACAATAAAACAATTTGTTTTAGTGAATGGAGTCTGTGTCAGTCCAACATTAAGTTAAAAAATGGCATGGAATCCACCTCAACTACAGTAATACTTAATTGCTACTCAATTTGCATAATTTATACAAATTAATGTAGACTCAATAATTAGCATTTTCATATGGTTTATTGGAATCTAAAAGGCATAACAGTACGGTCTGTTAGCAATCTGAACATGTTTAAACAATATGTTTTGTGAGTCACTGGCATCTTAAGTTAGCCTTGCACAAAATGGGAATCAAGAAAACATACAAATATCAATTTGTATGTTCTGTCTTAGTAGGGCTTACTAAATCTAGATTTCAGTGATGTACTTTTGGTGATGATGATGAACTGATTAAAAACCCCCATTAAAGAATGTTAACAACACTTGAACAAATAAGACAGGAAGGAGCTAGTTCAATATTTTGCTTTTTTTTTAAAAAAAAGATAATTAATCTTCTATCAATACTTATTCTTCTCATATGTATATACAAATATTCTAAAATAAACAAATACATAAAAATAAAAGCTGAGGAAATCCAGCTGACTTGTGTAGCTGTTAAAATAGTCAAATATCTGATTCCTGGTAATAAAAATACAAATACTTCCAACTTAACATATAGACAGATAGATGCTGTATACATTTACAAACATAAATTCAATATTTGGGAAAACGTTAACCCCTTAACCATCTTCCACATTTGTATGCTGCTTAATAGTCTACAAACGTTTTCACCTACACTATGCCCTAGGGCCTCACAACAACCCCATTACACAGATGAAGACACTGAGGCTCAGAGAGGTCCCATGCTCCTCCTTCTACTTCATGCATTACCTATAATAAATAGTCATGCACAAATGAATGCATATTTGAATTCCTCTTGCCTCAGTAGAACTCGGGGCAACTTTCCTGAAGATGAAATCTCGTGTTCCATAATGCTGAATGTTTTCCTACTGTATCTTCTATGAAATGATGATAAACAAGCCACATTTTTCCAACCTGCCCTTTACCTTGTACCTAAAATAAATATTCAGAATTCTGGAACATGGGATTTCATTTTATTTGGATCAGTACTAAATTTCATTGCCTTCTTTTGTGAAGGCGAATATTCAGTCCTCCTGGCAAATACAGTGCTTTGTGAAGACTGTGTCAGATGGGGGATGGGGAAGACTTGTGTTTGCCTCTACCTCATCATCCCAAGATGCATTTGAATGTTATGTTCATACTTTTACCATATATTTTTTGCTTTCATTTTTCTGATATATTTTAATAAAGTCCATTTTAATAAACAGAAGTTATATTTTTCTTAATGAACAATTCACTGGCCATTTTTCCTGTCTGTATGCCTAAAAAAGAGAAAAAGCCAGGGCAAAGTTAATGTCTGTTTTCCATTTTTTCCTCATCATTGGTCCCACAGCACTCAGCTGAACACCTGGCAGAGCCACCCAAACATGTGCTAAATGTAAATGATTAAACAGACAAAAACAGGATGGTCTTAAGCTTTCAATTCTCTCTCAAGAATAGTCAGGGTACCATACCTATAGGATATACTTGTTGTAGTCCAACTTATTTTATATAATTTCCAATATTCTCATTTCCTAAGTATAACACTATTTTTTCCCTAAATTCCAAGCTTCCCAATCTTAAAAAATTCGAGAATGAAACATATTTTGTGTTAGTCCTCAGCACCTGCTGGTGATGTGGGGAATTGCAGCTTAACTATATAAGACATTGCAAGCAAGAAAAAAAAAAGGAGCAAATTTACAAGAATTGCCACCAGACTTAGGAAATCTCAACGCATAGAATTAATTCATATCAAAAGAGGAAGGCATGGGATGGGAATGAAAGACTGGAGTTATGAACAGTCTGCAAAAATCACCCCAAGGCAACACTTGCCAAGTCACCTAACTTGGAAAATGTTTTAATTCAACCAAATGGAAGATTCCTGGACATTTTCATGATGTGATAACAATTTTAAATAGTAGTGACACTGACATTTTTTAGCACTTATGTGCCAGGCATAATATTATATAATATTAACAATAGCTACCATATATTGAGTATCTGCTCTTCAATGGAAAAGGCTGGCAAATCTGCCCACAGATGACCTGAGAATGACAATAATGATAACAGTAGCGATATAACATTTCTTGGGTGCTCAATATGAGTCAGACACCATCCTGGATAATTGACACACATGAAGTCATCTAATGCTCCTGACTTCCCCATGAAGTAGGCACAGGTATTGCCACATGCCAGGCACTCTTCTCAGCCCCTTCACATATTAACCTGTCTGATAAGCACAACCACCCTTTTTTACAGATAAGGAAACCAGGGCACCAAGAGGGGAAGGGACTTGCCCAAAGTCGCAGGATTACATGGTTAAGCTAAGATTCAAATGGGCAACAGGGCACCTCCAGAAACTCCTGACTACCCACTTGCTGCTTATCATTTTAGCCATTCCAAGAGAGCCACTTATGTCACTTCATTCCCAACAACAGAGGAAAACCATTTCCAATTTTGTTTTAATAATCGTTACAACCATCTGGTGATACTTAGTAAAATATGGGTGGGTTTTCCAGAAGCCTCATTCTTTGGTTTGGAAAGCTGGTGATGAGGGTGCTAGAAGCCTCAAAGCAGGTTGCCATGTGGTGGGAGTACTCCTACCCTCAGAATAATTTATTTACTCCTTGAACCTCATCGGAGAATCTGCGCACATCAGAAGGTTTTTGCTAAAATATCATGTTGCATCAGAAACCATTGGACAAACACGCATCCAATTTATCACTTTCTCAAGCTTAGTTTTGATATGTTAACAACCATCATTTAAACAAACAAATGACTAGGTTGACAACAGAAATGTCAACACAAGCACAATCTACTCATTTACTGATTAGCCAGTTGCTGTAGCTGTGTTGACCTATACTTTGTTTTTGTACATAAAGGCCCCATTGCATAGGAACAAAAAAGGTGCCTGATAGATGCTCTCAGTGTTCCTTTAATGATAACACACTGCCTCATGTCATCATGGGTGAAGAAAAACTTCAATGGAATGGGAAGGGTCATGGGGTCATGCATGGCAGTCCACTCCCTCAACCTACCAAAGCCAGCACTGGGCTACCACAGATTTTCTCATTAACTAAGGAGGCAGACAAAATGTCCTGGACATCACACTGGTGTGCACCTCCATTAGCACCCTTGGAGTAGAAAACAGATGGGCTTATTTTTACTGGCTTGTTTATAAATCTTTATGATTGATGATATTTCAGATCTGGAATCTGGGACAAAATTTGTATCAATATAACTTAAGTTATGATTATCAACTTTATGAGCACAGTAGGAAAACAGAAGATGTTTCTTAAGGAAAATCTTTAAAATAACTTATCCGCATTAAATCAAAATTTTTACTTTAATGACCTGAAAGAAATTTGTATGAATGTTCTCAGATAACTACAGAAAAGCCCTTTATTAAAAAAAAATAGGGACCACTTATACTCAACATGGTGAAGTTGAAGCAAATTCCATACCCAGATGTGTAATTTTCTGAATGAAAATAACATTCATATGGCTTTTTGAATACATTGGTTTAAGTGAGTTGAGAACGGATTGTTTCTTTTAGAAATATTTATTATTTTAAAGTATTATAGTGCTTATGAAAAAAATTAATGAACTGAAATGAATCCAAAATGTGAACTGGAGTGAATCCAAAATGTAAATGGGAAGGCACTTCTCTCCCTAGTTCCAGAAGCTTTCCTGAGCCAGATGATTGCCATAACATCATGCCTAGCCCCAATTTCCACTCTGCCTTTCAAGAGACCATGTTACCAGGAGTTTGTCAAAGGTCTAAGGCTGAACACCAGGAACGCCATGAGAATTTCTATAACATATATGTGCACTTCACAACTGAAGACATATCAACACAGAAAAAAATTCCTTTAACAAGAGTAGGAAGTGATGACTGATTTTACAAAAGAATTGATCTCAGTTTCCCTTTAAATGAGAAGCTCACCTCGAGAAGTTAAAATAATATATAATTGACTAGTGTGCTAAAGTTTTCCCAAAGTAGAAAAATATCTAAAAGGTGAGGTACAGCTGTAAGGGCAAATCAAATACCAAATTAACAAATTAACAAATCCCTCAAGTTTTATTGGCTCTCTTGTTCTTTCTTTTCCAGAGGTAAATTTAAAAAGTAAAGTGAATTACAGTAGTCTTTGCTCTTCTCCTAGCACAGATTGTTACTTGCCTTAGGCTACTCTAAGCATATGAAAACAGTTGAAATCTGCAATTACAGGACACTACCTATGGTTAGCAGCGCATCACTTTCTTGGGTCAGCTAAAGGCAAATGGTCATTGGAGAGCTGCTAAAAAGAGTCAAGGAAAGGATAATGTGTATACTGTCCTTCAAATGGTTTTCTGATGTCAGGAGAAGAAAGAAATCAACAGGAGAAATGGGATACAGAGGTACAGAGGCAGGCTCATCTGAGCCAGTACTAGAGTTAGGGCAAGCAAACAAGATGGTTTCAGGTGACTTAGAAGGGACCCAATTACTGGTCCAGGAAATGACAAAGGTCAATGCATAGAATGAGGATGAGGTGGCGGGGGAACATTTCTCATTTGTTTTTTTGAAACATTTTTATTTTGAAAAAAAATTCAGACTTCCAGAAAAGCTGTAAGAACATTAAAATAGCCTATATATCTTTCACGTAGTGTTAATTGGCAGTCATGATAGCCCCCTACCTGTAAACCCAACATTGTGTATCGCCTAAAAAAAGAACATTCTCCTACATAACCACAATATGATTATCAAAATCAGGAAATTGATGTTGATATTCTACTGTTATCTAACCTACAAACTTTATTTAGATTTCACCAACTGTCTCAATAATATACTTTATAGAAAAAAAGAAAGAAAGAAAGGGTCCAAGATCCAATCTAAATTCATGCCTTGCATTTAGTTTTCATGTTTCTGTAGCCTCCTTTACCCTGGAGCACTTCTCCAGTTCTATTTTTCACTATCTTGACATTTTTTTAAGAAAAGGGGCACTTATTTTGTAGAATGTGCCTCAATTTGGGTTTATTGTCTGATGTTTCCTCATAGTTAAATCCAGATTATGTACTATTGGCAGAAATGCCACAAAAGTGATCTTGTGTTCCCCTCAGTGCATTTCATCAGGAGGCACAGGAGGTCTCCATGTCTCATTCCTGATGATGCTCACTTTGGTCACTTGCTTAAGGTGGTGTCTGCCAGGTTTCTCCACTGCCAATTTGCTACTTCTTCCCCTTGCAATTAATAAATATTTTGTAGGGAAATACTTAGAAATTATGTAAATATTTCATTACTCCTCAAACTTTCACCCACTGCTTTTATGATCCATTGATGACTCTTACCTGAACTGATTTTTCACAGTGCTAGGGGTTAGCACATTTGGATTGACTAAATAACTAAGTATATTGTGGATCATGTGAGCTAAATTTCTCAATTTTAGAGAAGGGAGTTACCGGTAAGAAAAGGGGAAAGACTGGAATGTGGTGTTTTATTGGAATTGGTGAGATCATTATAACATCATGATATTTTAATATGCTGTATATACAGATGAACAGATATAGAAATAGAGATAGATGTGTGTTCATGTATGTGTATGTGCATGTACGTGTATATATTTCCTAGCTCTATTTGCTGAGATGGCCTAGAAATAATGGCACTCCGGTAGTAAAGGTATACCTATCCCCTTTTCTATAAGTACCATTTTGTTCTATATCTTGTTCTATAAGTACCATTTTCCAATAAAGGAAATTAGGCTTCTAAGAGAGATGAATCCAGGGCTGAAGCAGAGAAAGTACCAGGTGAACCTGAAGTATTTTGTTCCAGAAATTAAGGAAGTGATTCATAATCAAAAGGACATAGGAGCCAGCTAGAAACAGCTCCCACTGGTCAAGTCTGGGAAAATTTGTGCATCAAAAAAAAAAAAAAAAAAAAAACAAGATTGTATTGTACTATAGTTTCGCAAGATATTACCACTGTGGAAAACTGGATAAAAGTACACAGGACTTCTGTATATTCTTTCTTGCAACTATGTGTGAATCTAAAATTACCTCAAATTTTAGCAATAAATAAATAAATGATGATAGTAATGGATTATAACTCATTAAATAAAATAAGAATCCACCGACTAAATGAATTAACAAAGGTAAAGTTATTTCTTATAGTGGAGTGCCAAGTTTTTTGTGCCACATTTCCTTTTCCTTTTCTGCCAACTGATCTTCTTGCTCACGGAAGATCACTTTATTGAGTCAAAGCTATTATACTATGATTGCTCTCAGAAACAGGTGTTTTCAGCAAACCTAAGGATGTGTCTCTCTGAGCTGTGACTGGTGTGCCCTGGCTACTCAGACTAGTGGAAGTCCTGAAGTTGGTAAAGTCTGGTACCCTGTGGAGGTCCTAAGCACACAGAGCAGTCAGAACTTTCAGATTTCTCGTATGTTATCTCAGCCTACTGACACTGAGTCCCTACTATGGGATACATTATATATACATGAAATCAAATGTTGTTTTCCATCTCCAAAATAGATGATGTTTAGAATGTTCTTCCTGTCTTTCTCTGTGAATTTCACAACTGTTTTTTCTAACATTTCAAATCCTTACAATTAATGGCTCAAGTGTGATTCCTTTTAATGATACTATAAAATTACTTAAGTGTTAAATTACTATATTCAATATTCATCTATTTATAGCTTTATCTATAGATAGATAGTGTTGAAATCTATAGCCCACAACCTAATGTGTATTTATGAAGTCTTCTATTCTGGTTATTTAAATATAAACTATTTCTAAGTAATATAGATAAGCTAAATGATAATATCTGACTAATGGGACCATTATCTATTGAGAATCAGCTCATTCACTGGGCTGAGATTATCATCTACATATTTCTATAGTGGTAATTTAATGATAAGTGTTACAATTTTGTTTGTTCTTATAAGCTGTAACATCAGTCAGACCTTTTTGATTAAAGTCAATATTTGCTATATAATATTGACATTGGCTGGAGTTTAGACTTTAAATGTTATGTCAAAGCTCTCTTTATATATTATGCTTGGTTATAGAAAAGAAGAAAAGGAAAGTTATTACTTCAGCAAACTGGTGGCTCTAACACCTCTCTCTCTCTCCTGCACATGCACACACACACACGTACACATAAGTTAAATTTTGAATGTACTTTCTTTTATACAATTAGCAGGGTCAATATAGCAGGAAAATATTACTATAATTATTTTTTCCTAATAGAATTCTGACATCTCTGTTTTTCATTTTTAACAAGCTACAATTACAACTGCAGTTGAAGCTTTTTGTACAGTTAATTTACATTCCAAAAATATTAGAAAATTCAACTGACCTAATTTCTCAAAACTTGTTCCTTTAGAACACTTAAAAGGGAGAGGTGCCCACAACAGTTGTCAACAAATAAGACTGAGTACTTTACAAGTCATGACTCCAAATGGTGATGTGGCAGTTACAGCCCTTAGTAAAGGAAGGCAAGCTCAGTGTCCCAGGACACACATGCCGCCTACTGCCTGCTCTCTGGAAGATGAGGCATTGGTAACTCAGATATAAAATGTATGGAAAAGTGCTCTTTACACCTGGCTTCTGAAACACACATAATGTCATCCATTCAAATGTTGTCTCCACATCCTCTTTAAGATGGGAATATTCTGAGAAATTCTACATGACTGAATGTTAATGGATCCAGAGATTCTTGTTAGCTCCTCTGTTTCTGAGTTTATGAAAATGTTTTAAATTGGGGAAGGGGGTTGTGAGAGGAAGAGAACTCAGCTCTACAGCCAAATTGAGTGAGACTGGTACTTTAAAAATTATTTCCTTTGGGAATTCCATATGGTACATTTGAAAAGGCAAATTTTAATGCTAAGTTCCTGTGGAAGTACTTATCTGAAAGGCAATGAAGAAATGAGAAGTAAACTGAACCATTAGCCTACAAAAACAGAATATTTTCTGGAAAGTATTAAGTCATACAAATCCTTCTGGAACATTGTTTAGAATGGGCAAATTAAAAATGGAAAAGCAATAAATAAATTACCTCCTTTTCTCTATAGGGGCATATATTTACTTTTACCCTTCTCATGCACATTAAAAGACTAGGTTATAGTCTGAAGGGGGATACAATTTTCAAACCACACACACACACACACACACACACACACACACAGAGAGAGAGAGAGAGAGAGAGAGAGAAAGAGAGAGAGAGAGAGGCTTCAACCAAAGCTGTACATCAGTACCGAAGTGCTAACAGTAAGTTTAAGTGGCAAGATGCAGAGTTTCTTCTTTGGTGTTCCAGGCTTTGAATGAGAATCATACTGCCCGACATCTAAGAGCCACTTTGAAAATACAAGGGTGGAGTGGGTGCCTTTCCAAGTCAAAACACAGAATTCTCTCTTCAACCATTCTCCTCATCCCTGCCTACACGATTACCCTAAAGAGTATGTCATTCCTTTCTCAATCTGGAGGAACTGGATCCAAGGATTTTCTGGAGCAGCGACAGTGTTGAAATATCTGCTATGAACTACATGAAAGAGAAAAGAAAAGCAGTTAAAATTCCATTTTACACTTGCACAATTTTGAAACTGTCAAGAACTAAAGACTAATATTTGGAAATTATTTTATGAACAGGCATTCTAAATTTTTTTGCATGAAATCAAACAAAGCAGGCTTTGTCTTTCATCCTAATTTCCAAACACTTCTTATAAATGGTTGCTAACATCTCTATCTATGCTGCAAGAGAGCTATTTTCATTTGAACAACACGGTATATAATTGAAGTCAGAGTTGTAAATTACTCGGCCATCTGTCCTTAAGCTGTCACAAATCATACATGGAGAGCATATGTATAATGAAAATAGATTAACAAACTTTTTAGAGTTTACATGCTTCTGAGTTAATTAATCCTCTGTCCCACACATTTCCAAGATTTTTCAACAATATGTTTGATGAATCTGTTTAATTACATGAATGGGGTATATGTACATGTATATGTTTTATAATGTCATTATTACAAATTCAAAGGAAATCATGCAATTGATTTAACATTTTCACTTAAAAATGAAAATAAATAAATTTAATCATATACAGGACCTGGATCTATTGGCTTCATTCTGCTCATTTTATTATTAATGTTGAAAATTGATATTAACATTAGCAGCTACCATAAATATCTCACTTTCCTCTTAATGAAGATGATATATATGCATATATCTCACCCCTGCATTTCACAAAGATGCTACAGAGAGCAAGTGTTTTAGTCACTGGAGTCGAATTCCTGTTTCAAGGACGTATTCTCAGTACTATCACAATACAAAATTTGACCTCAGGAAATTTGCATGATTTCCTTGCCTCAGTTTCTCCTTTTATTAGTGTTTGCATGCCCACATGTGTGATCACGTAGAGCAGATCTTTATACTAAGTTATTGGAATAGTTTATAAATGGATGTGCCAGAAGGCTTTAGTTGCAAGAAATGAACGTATAAATATGACAATATCAACAAGATAGGAATATATTAATAAAGTAGTTTTTTTTCAAAACTGGAGCAGGGTTTTGTGATACCACTCTTGCCTAGCCAAAGCCAATCTAAATACACATCAATCATAAGTAATCGTTGTGCAACTGTACAATTGTATAAGCAACTGTACCAGCAATTGTATACTAAAAGGCTTTGCAAAGACCCGATGAGCATTTAAAATTTAACTCCCACTCAATGCAGACCTAGAACAGTAAAATAGTGAATAGAAAAACTTAAAAGGTTCCCACAGCATGTTCCCTAAGCAGGAAGGGACTGAAGTTTTCCCGCAAAGCCTTTTCCCTATTGCTTTGTAGACACAATGTATGCCTGTTTCCATAAACAAACAATTCCATGCCCAGAAAGTCCACTCTCACCTCTTAATACAAAATGTTCCCGAAAATACACATATAATGTGAAACTGTCCCTATCACCAGATGGACTGGAGGCAAGAGCTGATCATTCTGCCCCATGCAAATGCATGCACAAGCCCCCTCTGGGACAGCCCGCATAGTTAAATATAGTGAGCTGTACACCTGCAATCCTTGGAGAAGAAGTGAAGACTTTAGGTCCAGTAGGTGCAACCCATGTTTCCTCTTGTCGTCAGGACAGGTGGCAAGCAAGTAACAGCCGTGATTTGACTATTTTGCATCAGAACTTTTTCAGGGCACACTTAGAAAAAGAACAACAGGGGAGATTGTGAGAGTATTCTTGTTTAGCCATCAGCACAAAGGGGAAAGATTTTGGCTCACCGACAATATGGTGACAAATGCTTGCACTGTGGCGGAAGTTTCATTTGAAGTTCTCTGCCCCTGTTGATTGCCCTAATCTGGCAATGGTATGAGTTCCACAGAAATTTGATGCAACTGAGGAGAAAGGAGCAGTGCTTTTGGACGGCACAAGGGCTGTTTCATGGACGCAATGCCTTTTCAATCTCAGTGCAAGAGAGTCTCAGATGTGACACATTTGACTTATGTCTTCCTTTTTACACATTATCCACACACTTGCATGCTACAAAAATAAGAGTTTATGATCAGATCTGATCTTATCTGAAATATTCATACGTAATTCCATGTAGCCTCAACTGAGAAGCTAGGTGGTCATTTTGTCCCTGACTTTCACATCAGGACAAATCTGATGATTGGCATTTTATTGACATATAGAAATCCTTGGAGATATGGATATATAAACTATGCAATGTAATTTGTTTCTAATACCTTCTTAAGGTTTATGAGATAGAGGGGAAGTATATCTTGATAACAAAAACTACCTCCTACGAAATGTGCTGCAGTGTTAGTTACCACCAAAGGTAGACATATTATTTTTTAGGGTAACTTTTTTGCAAGATCCAGGCAAAAGTCTCAGTGAGTGTGTGTGTGTGTGTGTGTGTGTGTGTGTGTGTGTGCATGCACGTGCTTTTCAGGTACCTGTGGAACCTGAATGTGGTACATTCAGTTTGTAAGTTATACCTGAATGTACCATGAATTTGAATAATTACTAGGAGCTTTCCTGGGTTTGTAATTGGCCAGTCCTCTGTGTTGTCACAGGGTGCAAGAATGGTGACAGTGACATTATCAGAGCCTCCACACAAATGGTACCTGGTGACCCACTGATGCACTGATATGACTGCAACCCTGAAAGCCTGCTTCCCTCAAGCCAAACCCCTGTGAGAAGGAAGTAGACTTAAGGTAGCTTCTATCCAAGTTCATTTTCAGTGCATAGTAGGCCATGCACTGATAAATGGCTTTCCTGGCCTTGGCAATGTCTGCCGTCTTTATGCTCCACTAAACTGTTTGACTTCCACACAAAGACTTCTTCTCAGAGGCACTGTCTGGGTCATTATAGAATAAGGCTATTAGAGCACTTTGTAATTGTAAGCATAAACAAATTACTTTACAAAAAAGGCTAGAGCCACCAGCCACAATGAAAGAGATTGATCAAAACTGTTTCTGATTACTGTATATCAGATTCCTTAATATTTTTTTTAGAAAAAGGAACTGTAGGTATAGTGATTAAAATTATTAACACAGCTCTAAAGTCTGAAGTAAAAGGCACTGTGAGATATGGAAGTTATTCCCACTTAAGACATTTTATTTCACATAACAAATAAGGATAAAGGCCTTTCTTCTACAGAGTTCAGTGAAAGTTCTGGTTACAGGAGTCAATTCTCTGTTCAGTTTAAATCTATTTGGAAATTCTTTCTATTGCATCCAAAAGAAAGAACAGCTGGGCCAGTGTTAAGAAGAACCAGAAGAGTATTGCAACCTGCTGAGCCCAGTTACGCCAGCACAAAAACGTGGGAGCCGGGTGCCTACCACCTGGAGCCCCCAGGACACTCTGCCTAAGCTACAAAGAATTGAACTCAACCCTGGTGGGCATTTCAATTTGTTTACCCTCAGCTAAATATGACTTTTTCATGGAAAGCGGCAGTGAGAGTGGTGATGAAGGTTTGCAAAAGTTTATTTTCAAAAATTCACAAAAGCTTCTAGAACATCAAATGCTCTTACAAAACATTTTGATGAGTGTAAATAAATCAGAAACACATGTATTTCATTTCCTTCCAAATACACAGGGGTCTCAAAGTTAAAGAGGGAAAAAGGGCTTGAGGCAATATGCATTTCGGGTTTCACTGAATCCAAAAGCATTTGAAAATAGTTCTAGACAAGCAGCAGGCCCAGAATACAGCTGGGTGTGTCCATCTTGGACATTAAGGGATTTTGCAAGTTTTTAAATTGTTAGATAGTTAAAGTCCCTCTTTGAAACATCTCAGATGTAAACTAGATTTATATACTTTTATTTTACTTTTAAATGCACAAATCTTCAGGGCAGCTAGCATTAATTATTTTATTCTAAAAAAATGTTTAAAACAAAATGTCATAATATGTTTAGACACAACAGCCTTCAACCAGACAAAAAGGCTAACAGAGTAAGAAAGGTTATTTGTATATATGGAGTGGGGAGAGGTGGTATGGGGTATTAGGACCACATATCTTAAGAGTTTAAGTTTCACAAAAGCCTAGACTCTACAACTAGCTTATATATATGTTTGTATATACAGTGTGTATGTATACGTACATATGTATGTATATATACACACTGTATATATGCACAGGTAAACATTCTTATTAACTTATTTCCTCGGGTCTCCGAATGGCACATTCTAATGTCATTAAATGATGTCACATGCATAGTATGTGCCCTTAATGCATAAGCACAAGAATAGTTTAGATTCTTCTCTGAATTTGTAAACACTCTTTCTGGTTTTCTTTTTTCATTTGTAGTTTCTTCCGCTTCGTATTATTTTCATGTCTACGTGAGTGGGAGATGTCTAGTACAAACCAAACACTAGAAATTGCTGCAAGTGATTTCACGAAGAATGTGTTCAAAGACTGTAATATTTATTCCATTATGCTATGAACAAAGAAGATGCTTAGGTTTTATTTTAAAAACACACAGAAAGTGAGTAGATAAGAGGGAGAATACCATATATTCTTCATTGTGAGAATGCTAACATCTCACTTCTGACCTGAAGAATAGTTAACTGACTTCTGTAACAAGCAGGCCAATAACCAAATGGAGAAGGGTCCCTGCACTACGTCAGAAATGCAAAAAATGGGGTGTGTTGGGAGAGTAGCAACTAGCTTCACTGCCTCTATTTATATAAGGTGCCATTAAAATGACAATAGGAGGCAACAGTAATTAATACGCTGGAGTTGTTGAGCTCACAAATGAGACAAAAAGAAAAATAAGGCAATATATAGGTCAGTCATTCCCAATCCTTTTAATTTTTTGAGAAAAAAATTTTAATTTTGATGTATGATGCTGTTTTCATGGTTTGTTGTATTTTATGTTGCAATAATCTTCCTCCTATTCTCCCCTTTACCCCAACCAACAACAGACAAAATATTGTTAAGTCATATATTTCTAAACTTTAAAGTGAATTTAATGTGATTTGATTTGAGCATCATTTTCCAACAATTTCAAGCTTGGGATTCACAGCCAATGGTCTACACTGCAGCTTTTCTCCTAAGGGATTTTAAAGCATCATAAAAACTCAGCAGCTGAAACAACCTCAAAGGTCATCTAGTTCAACCTTTATCTAATGCTGGAATTCCTTCTGCAACATTCCTAATAAGGGTCATCCAGTCTTTGCTTAAACACAAGACATGCATACTCCTCCACCTTAAATTTTACCAGGTAACTGCCACTCAAGCGGAAAGTGACCAAACACAACACACCACTTTTTCCTTTCTCCATCAAAGCTCAGTCCCATGAGGGGTCATTGCTCAGGGCAGAACACAAAGGACATTGGTTTATAAATGTCTCGCCTGACAGACAGTAAATGACCCATGGTCGTGGATAACTTCTCTTGCAGAAGTGAGACACTATGCCAATGAAGCACTGCAAATACTAGAGACCACCGCCCAAGTAAATACAATAAACTTCTCACCACAAAGGCTGTTATCTGACACCCACACTGATAGTCAAGGTGGCTCTCTGGAAGAAAACAGCTGGCTCTGTTTGGTTTTTTTAGCAAAATCCACACTCCCGTGCCAAGACCAGACCAAAGCAAAATGGAATATAAAGTCCTTTTAATAGACCTTTCCCCCCAAGTCAAGATGAATCTCTAGACTCAATTCTAAACGCAATATTTATAAAAGGTATTTGGTAGCAAGAAACTATTCATCTTGGGATGCCCCATTAATAGCTGTGACAATAGTATTTGACAAAATTATTTTCTTTTTTTTTTTTTTTTTGAGACGGAGTCATGCACTGTCGCCCAGGCTGGAGTGCAGTGGCGCGATCTTGGCTCACTGCAAGCCCCGCCTCCCAGGTTCACAACATTCTCCTGCCTCAGCCTCCTGAGTAGCTGGGACTACAGGCGCCCGCCACCATGCCTGGCTCATTTTTTTTTTTTGTATTTTTAGTAGAAACGGGGTTTCACCGTGTTAGCCAGGATGGTCTCGATCTCCTGACCTCGTGATCCGCCTGCCTCGGCCTCCCAAAGTGCTGGGATTACAGGCGTGAGCCACCACGCCCAGCCATCAAAATTATTTTCTAATTTAGAGTCCCTTTGGCAAAAAGAACCAATACTGTACAGTTGAATTCAGGGTTTTATAATAACTAATCAATAGTGCAGTACAAGAAATGATTTGTTGAATAATGACTGAAAGGTTGCAGTAATCAACAATGTGGTACAATGTACTAAGGGTTAGATTTTGACTTAAGATGCCTCTTGTACAACAAGTGAAAAAAATGAGTACTAGACACAAAAAATCATTCAAGGGAGTGTTGGGTCCGCTTGGCATCCTGGCAGCCACAAAGAAAGCCAGATGCCCTGTGCCATGCATTTCCTTATATGACAGATGACTCAAGCCCTTTCATTGAAATTGGATTTGCTGTGGTTTTGACCAATTCCATCTCCTATGCTGATCTCATTCACATAAATCTCCAGCATGAAGCAACGAGGGCAGTGGTACTGAAGAGAAGGCTGGGTAGGATTGGGCAATGGGTATCTGTTTTTGTCATCTTAAAGTGCCACAATCTCTGCCACCAGAAGGATTTTCAGATATGATCTAGGGCATCTTAGAAAAACATTGGACTTTTTCCCACTGCTTGTTCTACTTTAAGTATTTAATGGTCTGACTCCAGGGGCCATTTATACAAATATCACTATGATATCCCCAGTGCCTGGCTAATGGTAGACACCCAGAATATATTTGTTGAATGAACGAATGAATGAATGCCTATTCCTCTCTTCAGGAGGCACTATACTTAAGATTTCACTCATCACAAAGCTGGTGCTCGGCTACCAAATAGACTGCAAAGAGAATGTAGCTATTCAATGATGTAGTATTAGAGTGGAATGAATAATACTAGGACCCAATCTCCCCCTTACAGGATGAAACGATGGTCACAGCCAGAAGAGTGGCTTTTCATAACTTCCAAGTAGTAGCTTGTTCAGAGGGGGCCAACGTTGAGCAACATCTCAAGACTTATCTCTGAGAAGCTGTATCACAGTTCAGTGTTACAGTGCCAGGGTTCAAATCCCAGCTCTACTACTTACTTATGTGATCTTAAGCAAGTGACTCAACCTCTTTGGGCCTCAATTTCCCCATCATAAAAATGGCAATAAGCTTGCCTACTACTTCTCAAGGTTACTGGAAGTATTAATAGTTTATGTATGGAAAGTGTTCAGATGAGTGTCTGACGTGCAGTAGTTGCTCAACTCTGAGGGCCATTGTCATCTGCCAAGTATATGCCAATATGGTGACAGTGAGAGATGTATGGTTTCACAGGAAGCATCAGGCTTCAACATTAGTTATTTGATTCCTCCTGGAAACGTTCCTGTTAGCCTTTTGATCTTTTGGGGTTCTCATATTGTGGCAATTAGAGAGGATATCCGGAGGGGTGTTTTCCTGGGAAAAGGATGTTGAATATCTGCTTCTCAGCCCATGTTCCCTCAAAAAAGTTTATATGCAGGAGATAAAGACGCCTCTCCCTGCTCTATGTAACCTAAAAATAGAGTTAGAGCCTTTAGGGCCCAGTCACCTCCCACCTGCATATCTAGACAGAGTTTCTTGAAGTCTCTCCAAGCTTGGCTTGGGACGTTTTGCCCTAAAAAATGAGAACACAGCGAACACAGATAGGCAAGCTGTCCTTTGACCTTGGGAGGGCTGACGTGAACTGAAGAGCTTAGACTATTTTGTGTGGTCTCCAGGGCAGAACTGCAACCAAGGGCTGGAAGTTCAAAGAAGGCTTCTTTGCCCACATACAATGGAATTTGTTCTGACCTATCCAAAAAAGAAGAAATTTGCTACCATAGGAGGCAGTTTCATTCTCATTATGTTTTTGTTTTTGTTTTTTGGCTAGCAGAAGCTGGATGATTACTTGTGGGGAGACTGAACAAGGGGTTGGCCTCACTCTCATCCCCCTTAAGGACCTTTACAGATCTGAAGTTCTAAGATCCTATACCACTGCTGGGACATGAATCAGGAGCAACCATTGCAAAGAACCAATGGGAGATTCTCCTTTCTTCTTTACACATCATACATTGCACGAGAACTGAGCCATAGCTGCATTCACCATTTTGCCTGCACACCACTGAAATTAGTTCACACTGATTCATAAAAATTGATCACATTTCTTTTTATATCGTTATAGCTTTTATGATTTTTACAACTCTATTTTTAAATGGGAGACTATCATTATGAAAAAAAATGTATCTCACAGAGGGCCTTAATTGTCCAGTTAATAAATAATGGAGGGATACAAAGTATCAGTACTAAAGCTAAGAAGGCTTGCTTATCCATTGCCTATTTATGAAAATTCAGTCTTCCTGGAAATAAGACACTGGAAATAGAAACAAGTATGGCTTTATTAGCTAAAGCAAAACAGCTAGAATTGCTAGTGTCTTTTCATTTCATTGAAAATTAAGGTCTAATAATTCTACAATTTAAATGCAAGATGCCTCCTTGGATTTTTTTAAATGATGGTTCATAAGTCTACATTAGCAACGACAGTTTTGGACATGAAATTCAGAATACAGTCAAACAGCCTGCAAGATATTAAAGGCCTCTGCCTCCCGAATATGTTATTTCCTCCCTTTTTTCCAGTGAGGAAACAATTTGTTTATTACCTTTCAAAGTAAACTTACGGAAGGTAAAAATGGCTTATTTTTCCTTTAAAATAAGGTTTCATTCTGTCCAGTCTCCTCAGTCATTCAGTGTAGGCTGTCTCATTCATAACAACCTTTTAAACATTTATCTCATAAAATGCACCATAGTCTTTAGAAAAAATTCAGAAAGCAGTGTTGTGTTTCTCACCTTTCAAAACACTGCCATAAGTATCCTAGATCAGTAATAAAAGGTAGAAAATAATCTGAAAATTTATCAGATGTAAGTAATACAATTAAAAGGATGACAGTGAAATAAGACCATGATGCCCACATCATAAGCTGTCTTTTTCCAAATGCTGTCAGACCTATTCAAGGAACCAAATAAAACAGTAACTACTGAACTGTTTATATGAATAAATGTCAGGAATTTAAAAGATAGTGAAAGAGGAGGGTAGGTGATAGAGAACTGAGGGTTGTGTATTTAGAAGTAACATCAGGCTTGTCTTCTATGGCTGTTAAAGTCGGCTAAGCTCCAAGTTCCCAGGGAAGGCAGTAAACACTCATAGTTAAAGGATCAACATCACATAGACCAATTCAACTTGGACATTTCCTTGCCTCCAACGGTCAACACCAAAATGTAGCATCACTGCTAGAAGTCCTTTGAGAATAAAGCCATATCAGAACTATGTTCAGGAAATCCGGGTGCTAAGACTGCTTTGAACAAACACGTATTTACAAATACACATTTCATGACTGACCACCCTACACATCCTACAGTGGAAGGCCCAAATTCACAAATGAGATTGTGGCCAACTCCAAACTTTCACGGCATGTGGGAATAAAAGGAAAGAAAAGGAAAGACAAAACATAAGAAAACACCAGAAGAAATAGCCCTAACTTTGGCATTGCACTTTTTCTTCTTCTTTTTTTTCCTCTTTGCATTGAACTTTTCATTACTGGTATTTATACTTCTGTGGTTTTCCGGTTATTGTCATTGTTAAACAAATGCGTGCCTATCAAATAATAAAAGTCACATTAACCCCAAGAACCTGGACCATTTCTATAAAGTCAGATAGGCATGGTTATTCAATATGTCTTTCCCTTTCAAATTCCTATGAACAATGGCAAATAATTAATTAATTAATTAAAGTTCAATAAAGATTTATGAGTGGGCCCTCTTCCCAACTTCTGCCACTGTAGCTGGGTGGGACAGCTTAACTAAAATATCCCTGAGAAATACCATGAGCCATGAAGTTCCTGACTCGCGTATCATTTATGATACCCTTGGGGAGCAGGCCCTGCCTAAGAAAACCGAGGCCCAGCACCCCATAAGGTTCTCATTACCAACAGGAATGTGCCAGGTCAGATGCACTGGAGGTTGTCAAGCTTTGCAAACTCTTCCCCCACCCTCAAATCTCATAAATTTTGCAGAATATGTTGCTTTGCCTTGAATTTTTATGATTATGTTCAATTTAAGAAAACTTATCCCATATTTTATAATTTACCTTACTTTCTAAGAGTTACATGATGTCCATGAAGTTCTGAGAACTTTCTCCTAATCATATTTTTTACATCTTAAAAATATAAACCCACATATTTCCAGCCAGCCACGAATTTAAAACCTCCCCCTTCTTCTAATTTTGGTGTGCAAGTGTAGGCCGAACAGATTTCAAAGTTTTTCAGTTGGGCAAACTCACCTTTCCGTCCTCCATTAAGGCAATGAAGCTACTAAAAGACAGAAATAATGGTGATCAGAGTGTAAAAGTCAGCCAGGTCTTGGCATTGAAATCACATTTGGGTTGACACTGTAAGGCTCAGAGAGGTACATCCCTGGAGCAGCTACTGCAGCATTCACAGCACAAAGAAAAGACTCTCCCAACCCCAGGGTCAAGGGTGAGGGAGATGATGGTTTGGAGTATAGGCACGTAGGCAAAGTTTGGTGATCCCCACATTTTCACCTGCTTTAGCGCATTTGAATGATTTTAGTGTTATTTTACTGAATTTGCTTTATAATAATATGTACTCCAGGTTTAAGAATGTAACCAAATCTTAAAAATGAAATAAAATCGTTCAGCAATATATAAATAGATAGTGATATACTCCTAATGATATATTTAGAGTAGCAACGTCTTTAAACCCTTCTATGTGCCTCACTGTAGATGTGGTAGTTCTTAGTACTACCCCTAAATCAGTGAATCTTCCTTACACACTCCAGAAACCCAGAGGCAGGGAAAGGGCTGGATGGTCCGATGTCATCTAACGAGATATGAAACAAGAGAAAAGATCCCACTCTACCTACAAATGTTTAGGATAGGAATAAACTACAAAGACAGATGTAATCCTTTGCTAAATCTGATTATGAGAAGCAGACAAAATCACAACTGTATTCAGCATGTCATTTATCCTGGGTGACTAATGCATTATTTGTATGAAGTTAAAATTGAGCTCTGAGAAACTATGAAATAAATCAAATGCCCTACTTTATGTAATTTTAACAGACAGATCCCATTAGGATTCTACTATGCGTAGCTGTTGGGTAAAATCATTGACCAATATCCTTATAAATTAATCAACTGAGGTAATGCTGGCTTGGCTGTCATCATTTGCTACTAATCTACATTTAGAATTCGCTTTAACTTTCAAGCCTTTTGAAATAGGTTGATCAAATTTCTATTTTTTGTTCAAGGTATATGAGTCACTGCAATTGTTTACCAAAGTATGTATGGCAGACGTGTGTCGTGGGTGTCCTTTTTCAATGGCATTAGAGTGCTCATTGGCATTTCACTGTAGTTTCTAAGTATGATGCTAATCAGAATACAATGAAAACAGTCTTCATCATTCTTGACAGGAAGTTTTACCACTTACAGTCTGAATATATTTGCACTGTTGAAGTTTAAACTGTTACAGAACTTCAAAACTAAATGGCCAAAATGCCTAATTGTAGCAAAAGAGATATAGTTAACATTTAACTGTTATTTTTTTTAAAAAGGTCCATCATGGCTCTTGCATTTTTTCTGGATCTGTAATTAATATTCAGATAAGTTTCATTTCTGATTATGAGACCCAATTTATTAAAGACCCATTAATTATCTACAGTCTGTCCTCCTAATATGTAGCTTAAAGTCTGCTTCATTTAACTGGCTGGGTGTTTCACTCCCACTAAAATTTCCTAAATTTCTTTGTCATCTCATGTTTCTGTCTGTCTTCCTGACCTGCATCCTGACACCTTTAATTTTGCAATTTGAAAATAATAAAATAATGTTCAGGGGTGTTTTTCCACATTACTTTTAGTACATTGAAGGTACCCAACAAACTCTATTATCAGCTCATCTTCAACTCTGTGAAGGCAGGTTATAGCAGAAGGGATGTGGTCTTTGGGCCCAAGAAACCTGAGTTGGACTTGGGGCTCTGCTGTTGGCTAATCATGTGACTTTGAGAAAGTTAGGGGTGTACCCCTCTGATTCTCATCTTTCTTGTCTGTAAAATGGGGGTGAAAACCCTTATTTTTTAGGGTCCTTGTTCAATGAGGTGATGTTTGTAAAGTATATGCCATAATGCTCTGTAAATGCTAATCCTCTTTCCCTACCAAATTATCTTATAGATTTCTTTAAAATCAGCACGTGTGGAAACTTTTCTGCACATCCTTGGGATGAAATTGTAATTTGAATCCTCCAGAGGCATAAATAGAAAATGTGTTCAATGTAAAAATATATGTTAGGAAAATTCAAATCCCAGGTTAGCCTCCAAAGCGGGAACTATTAAGCAAACGGGCATCTAGCTAAGAGGAGACAACGTTACAAAAGCGCGGAGAAAAATACTCAGCAAATGTTGAAGTCTGTTATCCCCCCTTTGTACTAGATGAAAGCTACAATTCAGGGATGGTAACAAGTTACTACACCTTTTTTTTTTAAGGCTGCCCAATTACCCTTAAAGCACTGTTGCAGATATTAAATGTAGGTATACCTCATGACAAGAAAATGCTGTA
Source organism: Homo sapiens (assembly GCF_000001405.40). NCBI lineage: Eukaryota > Metazoa > Chordata > Mammalia > Primates > Hominidae > Homo > Homo sapiens. The sequence continues at coordinate 148,511,176 of NC_000023.11, read as the reverse complement.
CACAAAAATCTAAAATCTCAAAATGCTGTACACAAATCTGATAAGTTTAGGGCTGTTTGGGAGAGATTTTGCTCATCAACAAAGACTTCCCTACGGTATTCCTGGCAAGTAAGATGCACATAAAGAACATTTAATTTATAACATTTCTATAAGCATCCTATTTCAGAAAAGTATGTACAGAAGGCAAGGCAACACACCTACCTGTACCCACCTGTCTGCTCATTGTGATTTTAGCACTTCTCTTGGTCCTCATTCTTACACCTCTTGAGCTATCTCTTCACAAATTTAATCACACAAAGTATTAAGCAGGTTTTTGTCTATCATTCCATCTACCTATTCACCAAAAAATAACTGAGCACCTACTGTGCACCACACACTGTTCTAAGCATTGCAGTGTCAGCAGTGAATAAAACCAACAAAACTCTCCACCCTTAATGAGCTCACATTCTTGTCAAGTTTGAATTAGGTTCAGGTTTTTGAACCAGTATACCTTCCTCCCAAGATCAGAATCTGCCACTTACACCAAAGAGGAACAGACTTGTGTGTCTCTTGTTGGAGTAGATATCTGGAAAGTCATGCCTCATATTTGATAATGAACTTAGACCCAATTTGTAAATACTAAGGATGAGTGGTAAAGTCCTCATTAGCCCAGTCTACTATAGAGCCCAAGCACAAGCAGGGCTTGCCACTAGTATAGCATCTATCCTAGGGTATCCTTATAGATTAGCAGAGAAGCTAAGGATTCACATGGCCTGTGGATTAATTCAAGCTCAGCAACATACTACCAGTATGGCCTTGGGCAAGTCGCTGAACCCTTCTGTCCCAGTTTCCTGCTCTGTTAATAGAGAAATCGGATAACACAAATCAGAACCTGTAACATAGGAAATGTTACCTGTAATTATTAGCTTAAATTATTACTATTAATACCGTTTTTAGGTCTTCTCAGCTAGATTTAATATTTTGAAGAACTAGCATAGTGCCTGAATGAACTGAATAAATGAATGATGCTGCACTCTGAACTGGCAGCATTAGGTTATTATTCTGGGCCAGGGACTGGGAACACAAAAATAAAAGACACATTCTCATCTTTCACAACAACAAAGTTGCATGGGAAGAGTTGGGGAAGGGAGAAAGCAGGATCCAGCCCAGGTGGAAGTCAGCTCAGGAAGGTATGAAAGCACAGAGGAGAGGCATCTGAACAGACTGGGTAGGAGTATGGGAGTTTGAGGGACGGAGGAAGCAGGAGGTCCTGCTGCTCACTAGCAGCTTCCCAGAGATAGAGTTGAGATTTGAACAATGACATAGCCAGGCAAAGAATTACTTGGTGGCCAAACAGCTAATCGTAAACACAGATGTCAACACAATTCACACAGTACGAAGGCACCAACTCCCTTTTTAGGAAAAAAGAAATTCTAATGGTAAAATGTTGGTACACACCTAACAAACAAAACAGTTAATTATATTTTTAGAAAAGGAGAAAGAGCAAAAGAAACAATGTATTTGTGAACATCTCAAGAGCTACAGTATACCCTTCTTTTGAAAAATGGCCATTTTGCTAGCAATTGTACCAATTTACAAACACTTGTTTCAATTATTTCAGAAAAAAAACACATTTTCATTTGGTATTTCTTTGAAGAATGTTTGCACAAATGTTTCCAAAGCTCTTCTTGGGAGACTTTTGTGGTTGTCCCTCAGCAAATGTTGGTCTGTGTTAATGAGAATACTCCATTCACACAGCAAAAGAGGACTCAGGCAATTATGTGATGAATGTGAGCTACTGTCAAACCAGATAATTCAGGGTCCAAAGTCAATTGTCTTATGTTGAGTATTCAATGCTCCGGGTCCCCTAAACAATAAAAATTTCTGGATTTCCATTTCACTCTGAAGTGCACTAATAGTAATAAAAGAGTTTCATGGGCCTTGACCAGGACTGTTTTGCCTACTTAGCTTGCATTCTCTCTCTCTCCCAGAATTCCTGTTTTACTTACAGTCCATGTCATAGTATTTCCCTAATTCTAATTATACTTTCCAATGTAAATTCTGTGAGGCCAGAGGTCATCTTCTACGGTCCTTTCATCTCTCCCTAAAAATGACTGACTAGCAGAGTGTTGGGCACAGAGTAGGTAGGCAATACAAACAGTTCTTGAGAGATGACAAACACTGAACCAGGGTACAAGGGCTCCTGACCCGGCTTTGCCAATTACTGACTGGATGTCCTTGGGCAAGTCATTTTCCCATCCTGGGCCTCAGTCTCCTTATCTGTACAATGAGGAGTTTGGATCACATGATCCAAAGGGGCCCTCCAGCCTTAAAACTCTAGCTTCTACGACCTGATTAACGTCTACACACCAAAGCCAAGCACTTTGGCAGCAAATAAATAATAGCAAATTGATGAGACCTCTCCACGGCACTTCATCAGAAACATCCATCACACTGAGTCTAATTTAGTCACTGTGGTTGTGCCGACCTGGCATGAAAACAATCAGTCCTTTGGAAAATTAATTCATTAAAAAATTTGTTGGCTGACATCCTGAAGGGGGAAATAAAGCCTACGTAATTGCATTTTTCATTGTTCAACAGATAGTCAGGTTGTCATGTACATATTGCCGTAGTCTACAGGTTAAAATGACCTTATAACAACACATTCCATCTGCTTGGTTGGTTTGATCAAACCATACTAGAAACCCAAACACCAAGAAGACATCACAATTTTAGCAAGCAACTTCTTCCAATGATTGTTAAAGCTGAGATTTCAATTTCAGCACCACTACAAAACAAGTAGCATATTATTTTTTACTTATACAAAAAAGAAACCATTTCAAAGCTATTTATTTCCAGGAGATACGTTGCCTACAAAACACAAAAACTGACTCCAGGAAAATGGTTTAATAAAGGTCACCAAGTGAACCAGTATCTGCTACTGAGATCTGGTTTTCATTGAAGATGGTAGATGATGCAGAGAACTATTATTTGGAAATCTAACAAAACAAACTGTTCTCCATAGGATGGAAGTAATGTCTTTTATTTCTCCAACAAACGAAGCATTGGAAAAATAAACAGATGAGTGATTTTGATTTTGTAATGAAAACAAAGCTTGTTTCCTTAGCTTAATCCTCAAAGTGTGGCTTTTACACCTTCATATAAGAGAACGTACCTACTGAAGAACCAAATCGAAGATTACTTTGAAACATTAGCTGATTTTATTTTTCAAATGAAGCAAAATACACAGGTATGTTTGAAAAACAGCATCCCATAAAGTAAGCAATCCATAATCAAAATCACATTCTAGCTATAGTGCTATTGTCAGCTCTGCTTAAATCATGTCATTTTTTTCAGCTCTCAGATAACTTTTTTTCAGCTCAGTAAGTAGGTAGATGTTAGACGCTAAGGTCATCTAAAAGATTTACTTCAAAATAAATTCAACAATTCAGTGCATCACCCTCTCTACGGTGTAAAGTGTGCCTTGCTTTGAACATGCATATAAAATTTCATTAAAGTGTAACATAAAAGTTTTACATTAGAAGAACCCAGGGCTGGACCTTTGTTTAACAGTCATGATAATTTATGGTGTGGATCTGCTACAGTTAAGTAGAAAAACAGCCTTCTCATGATGAAATACAAGTCATAAAGACTGAAACTCAAGGAAAGCTGGAGGAATCCCAACCCTCCGACCACTCATATTTTCCTCAGATTTTTGTTACACATTCTTTATTAATGTTCTCAATGCAGATTGAGACACAATACCAGTCCGTTAATTCCTATAATGCTGTACCTTAAAAGATATTCTTTCCTCTTGTTTTTCTTTTGGGCTAAACATATCTTGGAATTCATAGAAATTCTGTTTCTTAAAAACATGCCAATTACATGGATACTATTTTTGCCTTTTCCTATTAATCTTCTTCTGTATCCATTGGTTATTCTCTTTATTTTCTGCAAAAAGATCAGACTGGCTAAGAGACATGAAAAGAATTACAAATAACTAATATACAATCACACAGGCAGAGGGACAGTATTATCACTAGGATTTAGTAAGTAACTATCCTTGAAAGAGACCTGCATTTGCATGGAACAGTCTTTGAGTCGAATGTGACTGTAACATCAATCAACAGATGTTTATTGAGTACCTCTGATGGAAAAACACTGTGCTAAATGATGCCAGAGGGTGACACACCATTCTCTAGGAAGCAACGTGGATATTTAAATATTAACAACTTAATGCACCAGTGGTGATGCAGCGAAAAGAGCAACAAACACATATCCTAAGACTATTCACCTACTGTGCAAATTCAGGCAAGTAACTTAACCTCTCTGAACTTCCGTTTTATTATCTACAAAATGAAGCTAAAATATCAATCCTAACAAATCTTTAAGGTTATTGTGAGGGTCCAATCAATTAATACATATGGTAAGATTAGAAAGCTTTGGAAAGAAATGTTACCAACTTCCCACCTCCAGTTTTGAGGCTCCAAATGAGCCAAAAAATATACCATGGTCTTCTTTATGTTCAAGTATCAAATCTTCAAAATTTGAGCATTCAGATTTAAATGAACAATTCTCAAGGACTTGAGATTTGTCTCCTTTATATATATATATATAATTTTCCATTCTCACATTTTCATGAAGGGGGCATCCATAAATGACATGCTAAGAGATTGTATCAGTATATAGACTGTTCTCTTTCTAATTAAAAGGAAAAAGCAGAGTTCCATGGCTGGTCAAATTACATGGTAATTCCACAGATTTCTTCCACAAGTACAATATACACAATCCAATCCATTTGTTTCAGTGACGGCTAAATAAATATTCGGATCCACACAAAAAATGAATGAATTTGCCATTCAATAAAATGGCAAGAACCCCTGAACATTCTAACTCACAATGATCAAATGAGATAGCATGTGGAAGAGCATTCCACATGTTGGAAAGGCTCAGACAAAACGTCAGTTGTTGATGATGCAGGCTCTGGAGTCAGCTCCATCTATGCTGAAACCTGGATTGCATCACTGAGTGAGTACCTGTGTGATTTCATTGCTTCATCTGTAAAACAGGGATCATAACAGGTCCTATCTCAGAAAGTTGTTGGAAGGATTAAACGAAATTGAGTCTTTACAGAATTTAGTCCAAGCTTGTGGCACAGAGTAAACACTCAAATTATAGTAGCAATGATAATGTTGAGTTCTACCACAGGTAACACACACACACACACACACACACACACACAGACACACACACTCAAAAAGGTTTCTTCAAGTTTGGTCTTGAGTTCTTTAATCAGTAACATTTCTTTCCATTTATCAGTAAGCAAGTTTTTGAAATCTCTCTTTATCCAACAGCAATCAGAAAAAGAAAAACAAAATTACAAGTGAAAAATGCAGTCACTGCAGCAAAAATTGTTTTGTCTACGTGACAGGCTAATCAAGTATATGGCAGTTTTCCGCTTTGAGGTATGACCTACAGTTACAAGCTCTTAAGGCCACAGCTCTAAATTGTTCCAGAGAAGGCCATTTCATTGGACTTCTACAATTTTGAAATTATGTTAAATAAGTGCAAATTTTGCATGGCAAAATAATCTTAGCTAAGAATCATGGGCATTTATTACATGTTAAAGGTTAGTACATTAAAGCCATTTCTATTCAACAATAATTAGCATGTTTAAATACAATATAATTTGTATCCATCTACAGGATGCTTAAATGTATGGAATCTCATTCATGTCTATAATGATGGACTCATTTTCCAGGCAGTCATTTTCTACCTTGATTTGTATATTTTAAAGTTGTTAAATGCTTGACTGAATCATTAGCAAAACAATTCATGTATCATTAAACTGATTTCTACCATGAGATAATTTTCTTCCGTGTCCAATAGATGTGCCTCTTAAGATGTACTGAGATAGCTTTTATTCTTTGGAGGGTTTGGGGAGTTGCGGAGGAGACCTTACTAGTGAATTTCACCAACTTAAATTTCTCCTACCCACACATTCCCTTAAGAAACACAACCTAAAATGGTTTGTTGAATGAATGCTCAAACACACGGGAGAATGCATACTGTACTAGCAAAGAAAACAGACCATAGGCAGTCTCCCTTTTAAGAGACCACAGAGGGAAAACGGGAAAGATAAATGGATGGAGGTAGAGAACAAGAAATGCTGGGAATCTCTAGGCCTTATTCAAAACAGGACTTCCCCTCCCCCCACCCCACCACAGCCCTAGTATCTCCAAGTTGGCAAAGGTTGTGTTCCCCCCATCTCCCACACCTTCCCATCCATAAACAGTCCTGTTCCGCTCTTCTGGAGGATTGTAGCTAACGAGGCCTCGGAAGACCTGTGCGCACAGAACAGGAGGAGGCAGCCGGGTTGCTGCAGTGCATGGGCCATGCCCGGCTGGAGCTGAAACAGTTCACTTTTGTCTAGAAAGCAGCCCCCCGCCCCTTCTCCGGCACTGCCCCGCCCTCGCAAGGTCGAAGAAAACTGGGGAAAGTGCAGTTCGGACTGCTGGGGCAGGCCCTGGGGGCTGCCTTTACCGGAGGAGGAGAGGCCTGGCCGGCACATGGCCCCTTCTCAGCCTTGACAGCCCCACACAGACCTTTGAACTTTCTATTTATATAACAGTTTAGTGAGTTTAAGTCTCTTCCTGTATAACTGCCCGTTTGCAAGCTTGCCTCTAATTAGGCTATTTGTGAGACATCACATAAAAACTACAAACAATTGATGCTGTCCCTTGCGGTGAGAAGCCAGCCACTGTCACAGTCACTTAACTACGATTTTAACTAGGCTTTTGAACGTTCTGATTTTGCTATCACGGTGGTTTTCTTTTCTTTTCTTTTCTTTTTTTTAAGAATGTGTCCCTTTCTGTATTTTCTTTCTTTTCTTTCCTTTCCTTCCTTCCAATGAAGAAAAGGTAAGCATCCCCACAAAGAACCTTGGCTTGTCACAAAGCAATACCTAATCAATACTGGGTGGGAGGTGCTTACAGAACTGAAAGGCTGTACATTTTGTAGGCCCTCTGAATTTGCTTTTTTTCCCTCTTAAATGGGGATTAATGACATCATTACCTGATCTTCAGTCACCTCAAGTATTCATTTACTTGGTTACCAAAAACAAGTCTATGGAATGATTTAAATGAAGAAATTTGATTTTTTTTTAATTTATCTTTTTCTTTAAGAGCAAGTGATGTCTTTCATGCACACAGACAGACATCTGTGCCATCTTTTTCTTTCACAGAATGGTTTATATTAAATTCAGACTCAGGTGAACATTGCTCATTCATCCAAGAATCTTAAAGAACTTGAGCTTTGGCCCTTTAATCGAGTCCAGAGCATGACCCATTAAGTTATTCTTGCAGTTTGTGAAATCCAGTGGTATGTTCCATTAGGCATGTGAGCATTCCAAAACACTGCACATAACATGCACACTGCAGCATCATTAGTACCCCATCCTTTCCATTTGCATTTGCCCTAACAAATGTGTGTGTTTATAAATGGGCACACACTTTTTGTTTACTACAGTCAAGTGTTTGCAAATAACACATATGCCTGTGTATGTAAAGTCTTTCTTCATTATGTCTAGGAAAATGAGTTTGTTTTTAAGCTGTCCTGATCCATTTATTGTCAGACATCTAGGGTTGCAGTAGAGACAGCTCAGAGCTTACTGTTCCATAAGTGAATGTTAAGAATAAATTCAAGGTAAATAAGATCGTTAACTTTGCTGGTCTTTTTTCCTTTCTTGGCCCTCCTGGGGGCTTGGGGGCGTGGGGAGTGGAGGCCATCACTTTAAGTAGCTATTTACTCCCAAGGAATGGAAGTAAACATATAATGAACACGTAACTGGCATGCTCTGGACTTCCAAAGAGAAGTGGGAAAGGTACCAATTTCCACTCAAGACAATGTCAAGCTTTTTAGTTCATCCACTATTGTCACATTTATGTTCCTTTTCTCTGTGGAGCTATACAAAACACAAAAGCACAACCACATTACAAATGTTTATAAACAGAGATGCATCACGAAGTGTGCCACTCACGAGCAGTAAGAAGGAGAAATTTTCCTGGATCATGTACAGAGGGAAAGGACAGGCTTATTTATGCAGATGCGTTACACTAATTAATCAGTATTTCACATAATATTCACGAAGTGTCCAAGTCTATGCTTCTTAACTGATGTGTCTCAGTTAGGGATCTGGAGGAAAAAAAGGTTTTGCATTTTCCTTAAGATAAGAAAAAGAAAGCCTCCCACAGGGGTGAGGGAGCCTATCATTTTTTTTAAAGAAATCAAACATAAAAGAGTCCATTCCCTTTAAATATGCAATTGCATATGCATAAGATTAAACCGGAATTAATATAAAAAACATGTTTCTAAAAACCTAATACCTTGTATATGTTTAACATTTGAACTATACCCATGAAATTAATTATAACAATGTCTGTTAAATTAACGATGTAACCCACACCACATATTAGGCAAATTGTATGCAAATAGAGTGCTATGGTTATCAGTTGTCTGCAAAATAAATTAGTGAAGCAGAGTAAAGGCTGTGTGCAGAAGCATAATATCTAATTGAGCAATAATTTTATAGTAATTTTTACTTTCAAATAACAGCATTTTTTAATGTAACAATGTATTTCTACAGAGCTGATAAAACCGTGGTATCCAAAACGCCTTATAGATTAATACTGATACAGCATAATTTGCGCTTCAAGGATTTATCCGGAATTGCTGTAAAATAAAATGTATTTAAGTTCTGACTATCTTGGATTTGCAACTAAAGGAGGCATGATTGGCATAATGAAGCTGTTGGCTAAGCATATGACCCTTTTTTAAAGAAGGAAATTGCCTAAAATATCACATCAACAGGGGAAATCCTTGTAAAAATACACAGCATTCATAACCAACGGCCGCTAGTAGTTTAACATTGCAAAAGATTTCGCACTATTGGTAGGTACTACAGATCATTCTAAATACATTTTAAAAGGCAATAACCAAGAATGCAATTTTAAGCGGTTACCACTGCGCCCCCTCCCCATCTAATTCCTTAGACTGCGGGGGGAATCTGATACGTTTAAGTATTATGACAAATAAACTGTGATAATGTTTGTAGTAGGTGAAGTTTTTGAAAAGTTAATAGATATGTATATCAGTATTTATGCACACGCGCACGCACATCTCTAAGAGAGTTAACAACTTTCCAGGTCCCCAGTCACCTTTCTACCATCTTTCAAAATGTCTCAGCGACAAGTTTAGGGTATTTTGTGAAGAGCTGACTCAACCTTTGAATCTGAGCTGGAGGTCCCTTACAAAAAACTACGGCTGCCTCCCAGTGGGAGGCCGAAGGGGGTCCATCCGGTAATTAAATGTGCATTGACATCAGAGCTGCGGATTTGGGGGGCCAACTCCGAAAACCCTCAGTCTTGAAAGCCAAGCGCCGAAGTCGGCCTCGAACCAAGGTCCCCTGAGTGGTGGCCCCCAAAGCCGCTGCTCCACCCGGGAGTGCAGGGAACTTGGGCTGAGTCGGCAGAAGGAAAGGTGTGCGCGCCGCGCAGCGCAGGGATGGAGGTGGCGGCAGCGGGGGCGGTGGCCACCAAGGAAGCAGAGGGCTGCTGGCCGCACCTGGCCGTTGCCTTTCCCCCATGGCCCGCCGCGGGCGTTGGGCACCTGGAAAGTTGAGACATTTCGGGCGGGCGGCATCCGGGGCTCAAGGAGGCCAGACCGGCAAGCCGCTCCGAGAGAAAAGCTCCTGGGAGGTCGTGCGGTTCAGCCCTCGGGCGGCACCGAATTCGATGTGAGCCAAATGCAACTCTTTAGACTTGGAGCGCAAAGCGACGCTTTCGGGTCCGCATCCCTCCCTCTTCCCGCACCTCCCCCCACCCCGGCATCCGACCTAGGAGTCAGCGCGGCCGGGGCCAGAGGTGGCTGAGAGCAAGTGGGAGGGAGTCCGGGGCGCCCCCCACGACAGCTTCAGCTCCTCTTAACAAAGGCGAAAACCTCAGACTTCGCCAGGAGACTCGCTCATCAAAGGAGAAGGCAAAAATCAACACCTACCACTGCTGCTCCAAGTCCCAGTCTCTGAAAAAGTCGAATAGATCCATAGCGGCCAGGCGGCGGCGGCGGGCGGGCGCCTGTCCCTGATCGCAGCGGGTCGGCGCGGCTCTCGGCACAGCTCGCTGGCGGTTCTCGGCGGCCCCCGGCTCTCCAGCCCTCCCGCCCAGCTAAAAGTGTCCGGGCCGCATCGGCAGCAGCAGCGGGCGCTGGAGGTGTCTGGTCCTGTGCTCCGGCGAGGAAGCGGCGGCAGTGGCACTGGGCGGGCAAGCGCCTGGTCGCCCACTCGGGTCCGCTCGGTCCGCGGTAGCCCGCGCACCCAGCGACCCGACGCTGCGGCGGCAGCCGCTGCGGGCTCAGGCGGGCTGGGCCGCCCGCCTGGCTGGCTGCGGGCCGGCGGCGGCAGCGGCGGCGGGGGCGGCCGGGGCAGAGGCAGCGGCGCGGCGCGGCAGCCGGGGCGGCAGCGGCGGCGGCGGCGGCGGCGGCGGCGGCGGCGGCGGCGGCGGCGGCAGCGGCTGCACAGGCGGCGGCGGCGGCCGCGGCAGCATCACACACTTACACACTCACAGGGGGCGGAGCCTGGACAGCTAGAAGCCGCGACATGGAGCAGGCACGTTATCATCCCCGGATCTGGCAGGGGCTCGCCGCGCCCGCCCCTGCCTTTCGGGAACCCTCTCCCACCCCCCACTGTCAAAATCAGCTAGTGGGAGCGGCCACAGAGCTGAGGACCCGGACCCGGACCCGGGACGCAGGGGCCGTGGCAGGGATACAGGAGGTGGGCTGGCGGGACCAGGACGCGGGCTTCGGGAATGGGACCCCTCTCTGAAGCCCAGCCCACCCCCACCACTGGGAATTAGTTTTGAACTAGAAAAGACAGCACAAACAGCCGTGGGGTTGAAGGTCGCCCCCTGCCACCTCAAGCACAGCTCCTTGAGCCCCCGAGTAGTGGAGCAAACTTTGCGGGCCTGAGCATCCCTCAGGTCTGTAGTGCGTAGCACGCGGGTCCAGGAAGGAGAAGGCGGTCACCTTCACCAGCCCCGTGGCTCCACGTGCCCGCACCCAGGCCCTCCAGGCATGCCTTTAGGCGCGCACCTAGTAGGTCAGCGAGCTATAGGCCCTGGATTCAGTGGGCAGCAAGGATAGGAACAAATGACTGCCCTTGCGTGGTCCTTGAGTTCGGGGTTAGGATACTGTTAAACTGGGTTCCACTGTCACTTTCCTCGCACGGTCACCAGGTGCCTTGAGCAAAAGACTTCTGCTAGCTCCTCCTCTGAGAAATGGGAAAACCACTGGGTGTGTGCCCAGTATCCCACGCACCGGCTGCCCGTCTCCCTTCTGGCCTGAAATTCTCTTTCTGCACGTGGAGGGTTTAACCGAGCCTCCTACTCCCTTCAACCTCCACCTCTGATCCAGGAAGGAGTGGATCCCTTTAGCCAATTCCCTGGAGGGAAAGGTTCCCTGGCCTCCGTGCAGAGAAAGGTCTGTGGGAAGGGGCGGGACCGCTTTCTGGCATTTCAGGACATGAGCATTCTGGAGTCCTAGGCATGTAATTTGCCTTCTTCGTGTCGTTATACAGAGGGAATAGTATTGGCACATTTTTCAAATCCTAAGGCTAGAACTCTCTTGGGAAGGACAGCAGACTGAGCCCTGACAGAGCAGGGTGCCGGTAGCTCTGTGTGTGACTCCAAGCAAGTCACTTATCTGGGCCTCAGTTTCTCCATAAAACACCCAGCAGCCCTCTGGCTCATACTTCTCTGACATTCTCCCTTCTATTTGAATATGCTTCTACAGTATTATCTCATATTACCAAAATCATCCAAATACCTTTTAACTTCATTTTTTTCCTGAAGAAACAGAGACCCTAAGACATTAAAATGCTCAAGATCTGATATTTCCCCTAGAGGGGGATCCCAGATTAGAACCTAGAACCTGGGAAGCTCTTCCAGGGCTGGAGCCAGTAGAAGGTGCCTCAGCTCCAAGCATGAATGACTTCAGCATTTGAGCTACAAGGGGCCCAGGGTCTGGTCTCTTTCACATTGTTTTACGGGGGGAAAGAAAGCACATCATTAACATAGAGAAACAAGGCTCTAAGATTCTGCAACTCAAGCATCCACTGGGACTTTGCTTAGATGTCTATTTACTTTGCATGGGACCAAGTCCTCAACAGATGCTGGTTGACTGATGGAAAATCAACCAGTGGGCAGCCAAGGGGAGACGACATCTCAAAGTGGCTTGTAGATTTGGCTACCTGTAAACTCCTCTGGTCAAAAAGACTCTATGGAGAAACAGTTATTGGCAAAAATGGTGCTGGGGATTTTCAAATTATCTCTGTGACTTATTTATTCATGGAATTCTAGTATTCAGCCCTGGACTGAGAGCCCTTAAAGCAACAAGGACGGCCTCGCTCAGATCTGTGGCCCCCGACCTTTATGCCTTCAGTAAAAAATCCTCAAATTGGATTTGATTGCTGATGATGGTTGCCAGCATTAGTACTTGATCTGCTTGAAAATCCTTAGAGGAAAGCCAGAACACCTACAATTAACATTTAAATGGTGATTATGGTCACTTTATTTCTGGTTTACTTTTCTCACAAAATTGTATTTAATGGGGAAAGATAGAAAAAAAAATAACATGCTAGGCAAACAAATTTTCAACAGAAATAAAGCTGCCCCTTTAAGAGTTCCAGCCCCCCATCACCTCACTGGTGCACTTTCTTCCCAATCAGCAGGAGGACCAAGCAGAAGCAGAAGGAGCCAGCAAGAGGCAGCACTATGAACAGAAGTGCCTGCGGGAAGGAGAGAAGAGACAAGTGGTGCCGGCTGCTGCTTCAAAAGAGGGGCAGGGGCTTTCCCTTCCTGAGATCAAAACCAAGCAGGAAGGTTGGGTTGGGTGGAAGGAGCCCCCACTTCCTAGCCACTCTCCTCAAACAGAGATGAGGTTAAGACAGGCAACACTGAAGGGGCCAGGCTGTCCCTGAGGCCTCTTTGGCCGGGCCTGGCACCTGCTCACTGAGCATCAGCTACTGAGCAAGATAGAAGCTTTGTCTTCTCTGATCCAAGGTGTGCTTTCTCCCTTCCTCCTCACTCTGTGCATCCGTGGCTCTGATGGGGCCAGGGGCCCTAGAACTCAGCTCTTCAATGAATCCTCAAACATGTGGGCAGGATGCTGGATCCAAGCCATGCTTCCTCCACCAAAAAGCTAGCAGGAGGGTGGAGAAAGCACTTTGCATGGAGGGCAGTAGCAAGAGGAAATAAAAAGGCTATCTGGAGGGAGGGCCCACTGCTGCTGTCATACTGGGGTCATCTAGCTGTCATCTAGCCTGTGGTGGGGATCCAGTTGCTTCCCTCTCATTCCACTCACTATGGCATCTTAGCTATGGTGGAATACTCCCCCTCACCAGCCTAATGCCTTTGTTTTGGCTGGAAAAGCTCCTTTCTTACCTAGCAAAACCCACCTCAGGCCCCAGTTTCAGAACTCTCAGTTCAACCGAATATTTTAGAAACTGCAGGCACAACCTTCTCTCCCTCTGACCCTTCTCCCTCTGTTGGCTTCTCCCATTCTGACTGTCTCCCCCACCCCTGCCAGTGCCTCACCAATTTCCCCTAGTCACAAAACCCCAACCAAAAGGAACCTACTGGGAGAACCCGTAGGCCAACAGAAAGCCATCTTTTCTGACAGGAAAGGATCAAAACTGAGACTCCATGCCCCAATCCACTGAGATAAAACCAGAAATTGTTTTTAAGAGGGATTGGTTTTATAGAAATGCTGATTTTCAGATTTTCTAAAGTGAGATTTTTGACTTGAATTACTTTTAAAGGAGTTTAATTTGTAGTCTCCAGGTACTAATCTTTGTTTCAAAGAACTTGAAATCCTCCATTTGTACAGTCGTACTAAAGGCACTGTCATGCAGGTTCGGGTAGTGTCTAAAAATTAGGATTAGTTTAAGAAAGTTGCACTGTGCATGTCAGTTACAGGAAATGAACAAATTGACAACGTGTGATACACATGTCATCATGTCACACCACAGATTTCCACTTAAAATATTAAGCATTTGTTTCTGACCTGGTATGCTGTCAGGCTGACTTACTTTCTAGGAAGAAATTACGATCCAGGTTACAGCTCATTTGGGGAAGCTTGCTGGAAAGAATTCCATGGGCACCATGGGGACTACCACCTTTCATAACCGTGGCTCCTCTTCGGACAGAGCCACTTGGTGCTGCCATGAGTTTAGAATGGAGTGACATGACTCTGAATTTGGGGCAGTTTCCACACATGGGCTGCAATGTCCAGAATGATTCTTCTAAAGAAATACTTCAATCTTTTCTCTCTTTTTTTTGAGACGGAGTCCCACTCTGTCAACCAGGTAGGAGTGCAGTGGGCAGTGGTACGATCTCAGCTCACTGCAACCTCCGCTTTCCAGGTTCTCCTGCCTCAGCCTCCCCAGTAGCTGGGATTGCAGGGACACGCCACCACGCCCAAGTAATTTTTTTGTAGTTTTTAGTAGAGATGGGGTTTCACAATGTTGGCCAAGCTGGTCTCGAACTCCTGGCTTCAAGTGATCCACCCGCCTCGGCCTCCCAAACTGTTAGGATTACAGGCGTGAGCCACAGTGCTCAGCCTATTTCAATCTCAGTTCTCCCTAGAAACTGTAAGCCTTATGAGGGCAGGGCCTGAGTCTATGTCATCAAAGCCTAGGATGGTATCTGACACATAGTAGACCCTTCCAGGATCTATCTAACCAGCTTCTGTATAGGTAGCAATCTCAGGAGTTGATTTCAAATTGGGTCAGGACAATTCTCTGAACTTCCTGAATATGCATATGTAATTTTTTTTCACAACTCCTGTTTCTACCACTTATACTTTGGATCTCAATCATGCATCATGATTGAAAGACCCTATACTTGAGTTTTCTGGTTATCATAGGTAATGATCCCATTTCAGAGCTCTTCTAAAGTCCCTGGCTCTGGATTCCTACGAAGTCCTAAATATCAAACACCATCTGACCTTATGTCAATCATCTGCTTCATTAGGTTTATGGTATTTGAAAGGTCACGTTATTCTGATTTTAGATGATATGTTGCTGTAATTCCTTTTACATATTTAGCATAACCATAAAAGAGATAACATTGATTGAGCCTCTATATACCAGGCACAGTACTAAGCGTTGTATATACATTATTTCATTTACTCCTCAGCATGATTCTCTGAGGTAGATACTAGTATTGTACTTACTTATTTTGTAGGAGAAAGCCAAGGCTCACAGAATCTGAGTATTTACTCAAAGTCACAGAGCTCATAAGTGCCATAGCCAGGTTTTGTCCCCAAGCTGGTTTGCTGGCAAAGCCCATGTACTAATCCACACTGCCATACTACCCCCATTGTGCATTCACAAAGTATTTCATCTCACTTTAGCTCTGAGAGGTAAGCAGAGAATTAACCATACTCTCCATTTGACAGTAGAGGAAACAAGTTAAAGTGATTTCACCAAGGGCACATGGTGGGACAGCTGAGCAGCTGGGGCTGGGCATGAAATCCAGTGCTTGTTCTACTTACCACATTGTTGTTTATAGTCTCAGGGCCACCCTGATGAACTATAATACCCTGGGAGTTTGGGACTGAAGTGGCATCAGTTAACTGTTGGATTAGAAAAAAAATTCTCATGGTGCAATTTCCCTGATCTCAACTGTGGCTGAATTGGAGGAAGGCAGTTGACTGAGCCATGCCCTTGTATTAATGAAAGTCAATCTAATAGGCAACAGGAAGCAAGAATACGGTGGAGCAATTCTTGCTTCATCATTTAAGAAGACTCAGATGGGGCTTTTTCCTGGAGATTATAAATCTAGGGCTAAGAAACCTCTTTGGCCAACTGTTGGGGAACACATGTTGGTGGGCTGTAAGGTGTCCACAGGGAGTTATCTTCTGCATATGACTATGCTGCTATGCAACGACGAATCCCTGGCTAGTTCTTCTAACTTCTTGAGGGCTCCATTTTCTTGTGTATAAATTAAGGAAGTGGGAAACAGTCCAGCTCTGGCATTCTATGGCTCCTTGATTTGAAGTCCCTTTATATAACCTCCAGTCCATGGCCAAATGCAGATTCGTAGTTTATAATGATGAGGGAGGCAAAGTGAAGAGTCATCTGAATTGCCCAGATCAATAATCTCCATGTCTGATATGGTGATTGAGAAATCTACTTCCTGGAGCTCCGAGTGCTATCCCTGGGCTGCTCTCATCAACCCATTCAGCAGTGTGGCTGCCAACAGTTTCTTCCTGGAGCCAGCTATACAGAGCTGAAGGACTGGATTCCAGAGGGAAGTCAAGCATTTTTCCAGTGGCCAGAGAGGAAACCTAATGTATATGAGAGTGCTTTGTAAATGGTAAAAAGCCCCAGATAAATGTGTGCTCTCATCATCCCTGGAGCTGATGTCTTAGAGGCTTCCCCATTAGGTGACATCAGCAGTGCTAAGTGTACTAGCTATATTTGGATGTTTTATTCTAGTTTTTGTTGTTGTTGTTGTTAGTTTGTTTACAAAAGGGTATATATTAACCAGGCATGGGTTCCAGTTGCAAGTTTTCATGCTTTTAAAGTAATATTTATTAAGATATATAAACTTCTTTCTACGTGGTAATCATTTTTTGGAGGGAGTTCAGATCATTGATTTTCATACTGAAACATTTAAAGGGATTTAAATCAGTGTCTTTGTTTAAAGCATCCTGATTATTAGCATCGTGAGAAACTTTTATTTTTCTAATAAGTTGCTAACAATAAAATCCTCGGCGGTGTCATTAATAGAAATGAAATGACTGCCTAAAGTCAACTTTTAGCTGCTTCTGCCTTTTTATTTTCAGGAAATGGAATGCAGTAAGCCCCTCAAGCTCTGAATTATTCTTGAACGCTTTGATGCTTGGGCTCAGTGATGGCCATCAGAGATACAATTAGGCTGTGTTGTTCTGTGGGTGAAAGGAGAGCAGAGGCCTCAGCCTCCAGAACTTTTGCCTAATCACTTCACCTCCTGGGAACTGCTGCTCCAAAGAGGCCATGCTTCTCTGCCACTAGGTGGTTCATCCTTCCTCCTTTCACAAAAGTCAAACCAGATCTGGATGATCAGGATGACCCAGAGTTGGCCTGGATTGTAACAGTTAAATGGCTGAGGAGACTTTCCACCACTACCCCAATGGCCCCCCTCAGGCTCTTTCTTCCATAAACCTGCAACCTCCCCAATGAATGAGATGCCTCTGGACCCACCACCAATGATAATGGGATCTGTTGTGAACAGGCAAAAAAGTGCCTGCCCATTTCCACCCCATAGTCTACTTTGCATTGCTATGAGGGATCCAACCAGGCCAAAATGCTTTCACAATCTTCTGAGAGACCACAGCTTGGAAGAGGGCCATATCCCTCACCCAGCTGCACTTCCAGGTGTCGCACTTGTGCCTCACTCAATAGCATCTTCTTAGGTCAACTGGCCATGCTTTGAGACTTTACTTATCAGTGATGACATTTTAGTCATGTACATTTCTCAGCAGGGTGATGGCCCCAAGATAGCCTTTTTCTTTTCTGCCAGCATATAGGGTTTTTTAAAATATCATAGAATATCAGCACTACCAGGAACCTTATTGATTATCTATAGTCCAGTGGAGGCTCAGGTTACTCACCAAGATTGCACAGCTAGTTATATGAATCAAAACCATAAGAAGATCCCCCAAGTCTCAATTGAAACTCAAATTATGCAGTCTTGAAATCTTAAGCCACTGCATCTTATACCATTTTATGTTTTAAAATACTTATCATTTGAACCATAAATTAAGGAAAAACTTATGCTTTGGAGAAAAATGAAAATTCCATCCAATACTCTGTAAGAGAATGATTTACTTTTTTTGAGGATTGATTATCTGTGTAATCAACTATCTTCAAGAAGTGTTCATTAAGCTCCCAGTTTAAGGTCCCAGGTTAAGTAGACACTTTGCCATACCATTGCTTGAAAGAGAAAATGGTCAGCTCTACTTGGAAAGCACATGCAATTCACTTTATTTAAAGCATGCCTTCCTGGAACAAATTATACTGGCACTATTGAGTGTAAGGTGGCAAAGTAATTCTCAGTTAAAAAATAAAACCCAAAAGAAGGCCACAGGCTCTAGGATGGGAAATGTTCTGGCTGTACTTTCATTTTCTAGTATCCTCATTAGTAATGTGTGTTTTCTCCAACATGGTGTCATTGACGTAGCATATGTAAAGTCCTACATGCAGCCCCCCCTTCTGCCTCCCCAAATCTTCTATCACGATAGAATCCTGCCTTCCCCATTCTGATCTGCTGGATTGTGTATGGGAAAATGTTTCACCTAGGTCAAATGGCAACCATATTCTATCTCTGAAGCAGACAAAACTTTTGCTTACTTTTCTCATTCACCTCGAATGCGTCAGAGGCAAATGTGAGTGTGAAGAAAATCTTTTGATCTCATATTCAAGAGCTAATGAAGAATGGAAATGTTACCTAGTATTTTCTTTCCATTTTCACATGCCCCAGTTTTGGCCAAAGTGTCTGCTTTTAACCAAAAGCATATTTTAAATGAGTAGGTTTTTCAGTGCATTAACCTTTATTACAGGCCTCCAAGCAGCCAGTTAGAACCATTACATAGCACTCACCAAAGTGTAGTTTCTAGAAGTTCACTGATAAAAAGATGATAGAAACTTTCTGCAGTAATTTTGTTTATAGTTAACATTTTTTAAAGGTTGAACAGGCATCAGGACCATTTATGGGAACAAGAAGTTTATAATCTCTGTGAGATTTATTTAAAAAAACATAAAATAAGGAAGAAACTTCTAACAATAAGTCCATTAGGAAAGGGCCTAGTGTTCCTCTTGGACATCCAAAGTACCTCAGTCAGCAATTAATTTGGTTCAGAGTATGTAGGCTATTGTGATGCGTAAACAGAGGCTTTCTATACAAACTGGGGATAATATAGAAAAATTGTAAAGAGTTCATTTAGAGGTCCCAGGTGCCGAAGAGTATGCCTACTGACAAAAAATGTAGGTAGCAATTCCTGACACTTTGAACTATATAACCATGTCCTCTATAAATGTTGAAGCATTAACATGTAAACATCAATATCAATATTGATTCATTGACATGTAAAATTTTAAAAATTGCTGAAAACAGAATAAAAAATTTTGACTAAAAACATTTAAAAATTTTTTGATATATAATACCAGTATATATTTTGAGGGTATATTTGATATTTGATATTTTGATACCTGTATACAATATGTAATGATTAAATCAGGGTATTGGGATACCCATCACCTTAAATATTTATCTTTTCTTTGTGTTGGAAACATTCCAGTTCTTCTATTTTAAATTATTATTAAACACAATAAATTATTAATTATAGTCTCCTAACTGTACTATTGAATACTGGAACTTATTCCTTCTTTCTAATTGTATTTTGGTACCCATTAACCAACTTCTCTTTATAGTCCACCTCCCCTTACCTCTAAGCCTCTGCTAACCACCATTCTATTCTTTATCTCCATGAGATCCACTTTTTAAGTTACCACATATGAGTGAAAACACGCAATATTTGTTTTTCTGTGCCTGGCTTATTTCACTTAACCTATGACCTTCAGTTCCATCCATGTTGCTGTAAATGACAAGATTTCATTTGTTATGCCTGCATGATATTCCATTGTGTGTATATATACCACATTTTCTTTATCTATTCGGCCATTGATAGATATTTAGGTTGGATCCCATATCTTGGCTATTGTGAATAGTGCTACACTAAATGTGGGAGTGCAGATGGTCTTCAATATACTGATTTTCTTTCTTTTTGGGTATGTACTCAGCAGTGGGATTGCTGGATCATGTGGTAGTTCTGTTGTTTTGTAAGGAACTTCCATACTGCTTTCCACAGTGGCTGTAGTAATTTACATTTCCAGCAACAGTGTATGAGCACTTCCCTTTCTCTGCATCCTCACCAGCATTTGCTATTTGTTGTCTTTTTTTTATAATAACCATTCTAACTGTCTCTTAGATAAATGCCTTTTTAACTGGGATGATAGGATATCTCATTGTAGTTTTGATTTGCATTTTCTTAATGATTACTGATGTTGAGCATCTTTTCACATACCTGCTGGCTATTTGTATGTCTTCTTTTGAGAAATGTCTATGCAGGTCTTTTGCCCATTTTTAGTCAGATTATTTGGTTTTGTTTCTTACTATTGAGTTGTTGCCAACTCATTTTTGACAAAGGTGCCAAGAACATACTTTGGGCAAAGGACAGTTTCTTTGATAAATGGTGCGGGGAAAACTGGAAATCTATATGCAGAGGAGTGAGACTAGATTCCCGTCTTTCATCATACAAAAAAGTCAACTCAAAATGGATTAAAGACTTAAATCTAAGACCTGAAACTATGGAACCACTAAAAGAAAACATCAGGGAAACACTACAGGATATTGGTCTGGGTAAAGATTTTTTTTTTTTTTTTTTTTGATAAAACTTCAAAAGAACAGGCAACAAAAGCAAAAAAAAAAAAAATAGACCAATGGGATTATATCAAGCTAAAAAGCTTCAGCATAACAAAGGAAACAGAGAAAGTGAAGAGAACCTACAGAATGGGAGAAAATATTTATAAACTATCCATCCAACAAGGATTTAATAACCAGAATATATAAGGAGCTCAAACAAGTCAAGAGGAAAACACATAATCTTATCATAGAATGTCTCAACTCAAGGGAAACTTGAAGATTATGCATAAGTTATGACATTTTGCAACTGAGGAAACGGATCAGAAAAGAACAATGAGCAAATGAAGTTTAAAAGCTTTATTAAAAACTCAAAATTTGAACCCATGTCTTCTGCTACAAGCCTAGAGCTCATTCCTCTCCATCACGATGCCTTTTCTGAAAACACACCAGTAGTCAGAATCCTCTAGAAGAGTAGCACAACTCCTCAAGCTCACACAAACTAACAAGGCATTCCTTCAAATGAAATATCAAAAAATGGGGAGAAGGGATTGAGACAATAGCCACATGAAGAAATATTACTCAGCCATTACAGTTATGTTTACAAAAGGTTTGTAATAACCTGAAAAATGTTTTATTATGAAAGGAAAATGTATGAAATCATATAAACGTAAGTCTGAACTACATGAAACAGATGCATAAGAAGAAGACTGGAAGGAAGCAAATGTACCAAAAAGTAAATATAGTCTTCAGAGGGAGGCGAGGGAGTGAGATGTGGGTGATTTGTTTTTCTATTTTTCTGTGTTTTCCAAAAATTTTTGTAATGCTCCTGTATTACCTTTTAAATGAATATATATATATATATAATTTTTATAAAAAGAGGTTAATTCTGCATTCAGATTGGGGTAGGTTCTCTGCAGAAGTTCCCAAGGCCAATCCCCACTGGGTCTCAAAAATCTGCCTTATATTATCTAAGATATGTAAATTAGTAGAAACCTTCTCAGTGAGGTATATCCCTTTGAAGAAGTGGAAAAGGCAATCTATTCTGGAGACAAAACCGTTGAAGGAAATTGAAAGGGGTGGGGAAATCAGAGATGATGTCCTTGTTACACCTGATTCAAACTATGTAGGGCTCCATATATTCATACCAACATTGAAAAGACAGCAAGGAATCATAAAAGAACCATTGCAGCAACTCAAGTCAGCAAACAGAACCTATGAAAGTGCAAGAATCTATATTTGTATATTTAGCCTCTCGAAGGCTTAAGGCCGTGCTTTACCCCAGGTTTTCACTATATTTCCTGGGGGATAGGTCCAGGGTTTTTGGTCTTTTTTTAACTTACATGATTATGCTTTTTCTTTTTTTTCCTTTATTTTTTCTCAGAATGATAGCTTCAGAAGGGCAGGTCTTTCTAATTTGTACTTTTTTTAAATAAGAAATAACTTTAGGCATACAGAGCAGTTGCAAAAATAATACAGAAAGTTGCCATTTATCCTTCACCCAGCCTCCCCTAGTGTAAATATCTTATATAATCATACAAATTATTTGTATTTTGATACAAATTACAATTGGTACAGTACTAGTAACTAAACTGCAGAAACTATCCAAATGTCACCACTTTCTGCTCTCATGACATTTTTTTTCTGTCTGAAGATCCAATTCTGGATCCCACACTGCATTTAGTTGTCCTGCCACCCTAGTCTTCTCCAGTCTGAAATAGTTACTCAGTCTGTCCCTGACTTTCATAATATTGGTCAGTTATTTTTAGAATGTCTTTCAATTTGAGTGTATCTGATGTTTTCTCATGATTAGATTGAGGCTATGCATTTTTGGCAAGAATATCACAGAAGTAATACTGTAACCTTCTCAGTATGTCTCATCATGGATTTCGTGATGTTATCATTGGTGGCATTAACGTTAATAAAGTATCTGCTGGCTTTCTCCACTGTAATTTTCTCCTTGTAATTAATAAATACCTTGTGGAAGATACTTTGAGACTATAAAAATAATCGGTTTATCCTCACATCTTTGCCCATATGGCTTAGTCAAGTTGACATGTAAAATTAACCATCACAGCAGGTGAGGAAACCAAGGCTTCAAGAACTTAACTAACTTGTTCAACATCACACTGCTGATAGGTCACAGAGCCAACACTCAAATTGAGGTCTGTTCCTCTGTAATGTTCCACTCCTTTCCAGGACATCCCTCATTTAGAAAGTGAGAAGACTCAAAAAAGACAAAAGCCTTGCTGAAGTCACAAAGTGGGCCGGGATGACACAAGATCCAGGGTTTACTGACAGCTCATTTTCCACCACATTGCTTTGGAAGACTTCGGCTTAATGTCTCCTTATAGCTAGCCCTTTACCCACAGTCTCCCTAAGTGTGTTTTCCAATGGAGAGTCAAGGGTCAGTACCTAATGAAGCATAAGAAGGAGAGGGATTTGAACAACCAAATGAGTTTACTATCTGCTGATAACCAAAAATGACTAGGATTTTGTAGTTCTTCACAGGACCTAAAAAAGTCCTTATGGTGAGGTATACTGGGATCACTATTAGCTCTTCTGTATTCAAATTTAACATTTTAATCAGTGGGTTTGATTAAGACCTAAACATCATGTTTGTCAAGTCTGAGGAGGCCTTACATTATGGGGGGCTGTTATGATAGAGGACTAAGCTGGTTCAAAGCACCTTTGACCCTTGAACAACACAGGGGTTGGAGCACCAACCCCTAGAACAGTTAAATATCTGCATATAAACTTTGACTGCCCCAACACTAAACTACTAATAGCCTACTGTTGACCAGAAGCCTTACTGACAATTGAAACAATAAATTAACATATTTTGTATGTTATATATATTATATATTGTATTCTTATAAGGTAAGCTAGAGAAAATAAAGTATTAGTAAAACTATCATAAGGAAGATAAAATATATTTAAAATATATTTACTATTCCATTAAGCAGAAGTGGGTCATCATAAAGGTCTTTATCCTCATCATCTTCACATTGAGTTGGCTGAGGATGAAGAGGAAGAGGAGGGGATGGTCTTGCTGTCTCATGGGTAGCAGAGACAGAAGAGGTGAAGGAAGTAGAAGGGAGGTAGCAGAGACAGAAGAGGTGAAGGAAGTAGAAGGGAGGTAGCAGAGACAGAAGAGGTGAAGGAAGTAGACGGGAAGGCAGGAGAGGTGGGCACACTAGATGTAACATACTGAATAAAATCCACGTATAAGTGGACCCTCACAGTTAAAATCCGTGTTGTTCAAGGGTCAACTGGAATCCCCAATCCCTTCCTTTTCTAGGTCTAGGCAGTAGTGATTTACCTGCTCACTGACCTGGAAAAAGTATAGCTCAAGCAGCAAGTTTTCTATAATTCTATTGATTTAATGTAGTACTCTAGGAATATTTAAACAATTGCTTTAAAAGACCTAAACAAATTCAAATAATTTAATATTTCTTTGATATTTGAAAAATTCCCCAACAAAATATATGTTAAATCTAGGAAAATGTAGAAAATACAAATAAACATAAAAAATAAGTATTACCAGAAATCTTCCAATTTAAGAGCTGTGTGACCTTGAGCAAGTCACTACACATTTTTGAACATCTTTTGTGTCCACTTACAAAATATCAAGTCAGGTTCTTGGGATGTTGAAATGGAAAATGACTATTAAATTTGTAACAGTGCCTAGCTTAAAAGTAGCTGGGCTTTCTGTCATCAAAAGTAATGGCAAAAACTGCAATTATTTTTGCACCAACCTAATAGTTATGGATTTGAATTCCCTTCTCTGCTTATTCCATGCTTGCTCTCACCATCCCCAGTTTTAGGGATAAGCAAGTATTTATTTCTTTTTAAACTATATATGCCCAAAGCTATTTATTTATTTTTATACAAAGTTTACCTTTAGAACACTTTTAGTTTCACAGCAAAATTGAGCAGACAGTACAGAGATTTTCCATATACCTTCTGTCTCCACACATACACAGCCTTCCCCATTATCAACATCCTCCACAGAGTGGTGCATTTGTTGAAATCAATGAACCTACATTGACACATCATTATCACCGAGGATCCATAGTTTACATTAGGATTCACTCTTGGCATTGTACATTCAATGGGTTTGGACAAATGTATAATGACATATATCCACCATTACAGTATCATACAAAGTAGTTTCACTGCCCTAAAAGTCCCCTGTTTTCTGCCTATTCATTCCTCCCTCCTTTCTTAACCCTGGACAACCATTGGTCTTTTTACTGTCTCCATAGGTTTGCCTTTTCCAGAATGTCATACAGTTGGAATCATGCAATATGTAGCCTTTTCATATTGGCTTCTTTCACATGGTAATGTGCATTTAAGTTTCCTCCATATCTTTTTATGGCTTGATAGCTTATTTCTTTTTAGCACTGAATAATGTTCCATTATCTGGATATTCTACAGTTTATCCATTCAATCACTGAAGGACATCTTAGTTGCTTCTAAGTTTTGGCAATTATGAATAGACATTATCTGTGTGCAGGTTTTTGTGTGGACATGAGTTTTCAACTCCTTTGGGTAAATAACAAGAAGCACGATTGCCGGATCTTATGGTAAGAGTATGTTTAGTTATGTAAGAACTTGCCAAAATGTCATCTAAAGTGTCTGTACCATTTTGTATTCCCACCAGCTATGAATGAGAGTTACTGCTGTTCCACATCCTCACCAGCATTTGATGTTGTCAGTGTTCTGGATTTTGGCTATTTGAATAGATGTGTAGTGGTATCTCATTGTTTTAATTTGTATTTCCCTGATAATATGATGTGGAGCATCTTATATGCTTATTCATTATCTGTATATCTTCTTTAGTGAGATGTCTGTTAAGTTCTTTGGCTCATATTTCAGTCTTGTTTTGTGTTTTCTTTTGAATAACAGTCTTTTATCAGATTTCTTTTTATAAATATTATCTCTCAATCAGTGGCTTGCCTTGTCATTCTCTTGAGAGTGTCTTTCACAGAGCAGAATATTTTTTATTTTAATGATTCCCAGCTCATCAATTTTTTCTTTCATGGATTGTGCCTTTGGTGTTATATCTAAAAAATCATCAACAAACTCTAGGTCATCTAGATTTCTTCTTTACTGTGCTGGTTCTTTGTTTGTTTTAACAGATGGGGTCTTGCTATGTTGCCCAGGCTGGCCTTGAACCCCTTGGCTCAAGCAATCTTTCTGCCTCAGCCTCCCAAGTAATTGGGACTACAGGCATGCACCACAATGCCTAGCTTACTGTGATGTTTTAGTGGTTATTTTCTATTTCTCTCTTTCCTTCTGCATTTATCAATTGGTATTATTCTGTTAGAATGAATTACCCAACCCCTCTCCCCATTTTTTGAATTATTTATATCAATATGGATTCATGGATGTTAATTTTATTCTATAAATTATAATCCAGTATCATCATTATGTATTTTATTTCCAAACTGTTCCATTTTTGGCCATTGGGAGTGCTGTCATTTTGGAATCTGATTTTCTTTCTTTCTTTTTTTTTTTTTTTAATTTTTTTATTTCCATAGGTTACTGGGGACAGGTGGTGTTTGGTTACTTGAGTAAGTTCTTTAGTGGTGATTTGTGAGATTTTGGTGCACCCATCACCCGAGCAGTATGCACTGCACCCAATTGGTAGTCTTTTATCCCTCACCCCCTTCCCACTCTTTCCCCCTGAGTCCTCAAAGTCCATTGTGTCATTCATAAGCCTTTACATTCTCATAGCTTAGCTCCCACATATGAGTGAGAACATAAGATGTTTGATTTTCCATTCCTGAGTTACTTCACTTAGGATAATAGTCTCCAATCTCATCCAGGTCACTGCAAATGCCATTAATTCATTCCTTTTTATGGCTGAGTAGTATTCCATCATATATATATCATATATATCACGATATGTATGATATATGTGTGTGTGTGTGTGTGTGTGTGTGTGTGTGTATATATATATATATATATATATATATATATATATATATATATATACCACAGTTTATTTATCCACTCATTGATTGATGGGCATTTGGGCTGGTTCCATATTTATATATCATATATATCACAATATATATTTAATATATGTGTGTGTATATATATAATCACAGTTTATTTATCCACTCGTTGATTGATGGGCATTTGGGCTGGTTCCATATTTTTGCTATTGTGAATTTTGCCACTATAAACATGCATGTGCAAGTATCTTTTTCGTATAATGACTTATTTTCCTCTGAGTAGATACCCAGTAGTGGAATTGCTGGATCAAATGGTAGTTCTATTTTTAGTTCTTTAAGGAATCTCGACACTGTTTTCCATAGTGGCTGTACTAGTTTACATTCCCACCAGCAGTGTAGAAGTGTCCCCTGGTCATCACCGCGTCCATGCCAACATCTACTGTTTTTTGATTTTTTGATCATGGCCATTCTTGCAGGAGTGAGGTGGTATCGCATTGTGGTTTTGATTTGCATTTCCCTGATCATTAGTGATGTTGAGCATTTTTTCATATGTTTGTTGGCCATTTGTATATCTTCTTTTGAGAATTGTCTATTCATGTCCTTGGCCCACATTTTTTTTTATTTTGTTGCTAATTTGTTGGAGTTTGTTGTAGAATCTGGATATTAGGCCTTTGTCAGATGTATACACTGTGAAGATTTTCTCCCACTCTGTGGGTTGTCTGTTTACTCTGCTGACTGTTCCTTTTGCCATGCAAAAGCTCTTTAGTTTAATTAAGGACTGTGGTTTTCTTCTGATGTGCATCCATCCTTTTTGAGCATTTCCTTATTTTTTATTACCACAAGATATTCCAGGATCATCTTGTGTTTTCTTTGCCCCAGCTCCAGAATCAACCACTTCTTTGAGAGTTCCTGGTTCCCTTTATGGAAGCAAGGAGTTTCGAGACCAAGATCTGGGCACTGGATGTGTTCATTGCTACTGGGGTATTCTTGCTCCCAGGTGTCCTGGCAGACAGAAGTAGGAAGAGCGTGTGTGTGTCTGTGTGTATCTGTATGGAAGTGTGTGTTTGTATGTGTGTATTTGTGCATTGCCTCTTCTTGTCTTCCCTATCAAAGTCTTGGTCATTTGTTCCTTAATTTTTTCATTTCAACTTTTATTTTAGATACAAGGGGTATATGTGCAGGCTTGTTACATAGGAATATTACATGATGCTGAGGTTTGAAGTGTGAATCCCGCCACCCAGGTAGTGATCATAGTACCTGATAGGTGGTTTTTAAACCCAAACCCCTCCCTCCAAACACCCATTAGTTGTCCACAGTGTCTATTATTCCCATATTTATGACCATGTGTGCTCAATGGCTAGTTCCCATTTATAAGTGAGAACATGCAGTATTTGGTTTTCTGTTCCTACATTAGTTTGCTAATGATAGTAGCCTCCAGCTCCATCCATGTTCCTGCAAAAGACATAATCTTTTTTCTTTTTTATGCCTGCATAATATTCCATGGTGCATATATATGTGCCATGTTTTCTTTTTCCAATCAAACATTAATTGGCACCTAGGTTGATTCCATGTCTTTGCTATTGTGAATAGTGTGGCAATGAACTTATGAATTCATATGATTTTTTGGTGGAATGATTTCTTTTCTTTGGGGTATATATCCAGTAATAGGATTGCTGGGTTGAATGGGAGCTCTATTTTAAGCTCTCTGAGAAATCTCCAGACTGCTTTCCACAGTGGCTGGACTAAGTTGCATTCCTACCACCAGTGTATACGCATTCCCTTTTCTCCATAGCCTTGCCAGCATCTGTTGTTTTTTTACATTTTAGTAATAGCCGTTCTGACCGGTGTGAGATGGTATCTCATTGTGGCTTTGATTTGAATTTCTCTGATGATTAATGATATTGAGCATTTCGTATATATTTCCTGGCCATTTGTATGTCTTCTTTTGAGAAGTGTCTTTTCATGTCTATTGTCCATTTTTTCATGGGATTGTTTTTGCTTATTGATTTGTTTAAGTGCCCTTAGGTTCTGGATATTAGGCCTTTGTTGGATGCATAGTTTGCAAATATCTTCTCCCATTCTGTAGGTTGTTTGTTTGCTATTTGATAGTTTCTTTTGTTGTGTAGAAGCTTTGTTCCTCAATTTCTAACAGTTTTTATATCATAAGGATATAAGTCTTTTGTCTGTAGTATATGTTGCAAATATATTTCTCCCTGTTTATCAGATGTCTTTGGCTTTTTATATAATATTTTTCATGTATCTTTTAATTGTATGTAGTCAAATTCATCAATCTTTTCTTTTTTGGCTCTGGATTTGGGGTCTTAAAGTTTGTTTACCTTAAGGTTAAAGAAGAATTCTCTCAGTATTCTTCTTGTACTTGTAAGGTTGTATTTTTGACCTTTGGATCCCGATCCATTTGGAGTCTATTGATGTGAAATGAGGATGTAATTAATCTTTTCTTTTTCATCAATTGGCTTCCCAGTTTTTCCAGAACAACCTACGAGAAAGTCCTTTATTCCATCTTACCTTGGTGACTTAACACTTTTGTCATATATTAAATTATTGTTTTCTTCAGTGTTTTGTTTTATTTTTATAAATTAATGAAATTTGCTGAAGGTTTTTTTAGCATCTATGGACATAATTGTGCATTTTTTAGATTTATTAATATAGTATATTAATGAATATTCTATTGTTGAACCAACCTTACATGCCTGGAATAAATCTCACATGATTATGGTATATTATTTTCATAATATGATATTGCAATCTATTTAATAATATTTTATTTATCATTTTTGCATTATAATCATAGGTGATACTATTCTCTAGTTTAGTTTCTTAATATTACATTCATCTGATTTAGTTACTTATGTTATATTCACTTCATGAAAGTAATTAGAAAGTTTTCCTTCCTTTTCAATGCTTAGAAAGAATTTATAGCCCATTGAGACAATCTAACATTTCAAAGCTTGGTAGAGTTCCCCTATAAAACTATTTGAGTGTGACTTTTTAAAAATATAAGATAAATCCTTAAAACTTTCTCTATTCCTATGAAAATTGGTCTGCTTAAATTTTCTATATTGAATGAGCTTATTTTTAGTAAGTGGATTTTCATTAAAAATTACCCATTTTTCTAGGTTTTCAACGTATTTACAAAGAGGTCTGAAAAGTAGTATCTTTAGATTTTATTTAAATTTCTTCCCTCTTATCAGTTCTTTTTCTGCACAATTTTACTTCCTTCTTTGTTTCTTTATTTAGTTAGTTACTGATTTTGATGTTTTGGTAACATTGAGAAAAAAATCCCCAATAATTTTTAATGATTAATTAGACCTACTTTTTTCTATTCTCTGCTTTATTAATTTCTATTTTTAACTTTACATTCTTCCTTGTTCATTTTTTTTTGTTTACTTTGTTGTTTATTTATTAGTGTTTCTCCTTTTAGTTTTTTAGAGCTGGGCATTTCATTTATTTTCAAATGTCCACTTTTATCAGTAAGTGTATAATGTAGTGAATTATCCCCTAATTCACTGTTTTGAGTGCATTCCATAGATTCTGATAAGAAATGTTTTTAATGTCATTATTTTATTTTTAAATTCTATAACATCAATTTACATTTTCTCTTATATTCAAGAGTTGTTGGCCAGGTGCAGTGGCTCATGCCTGTAATCCCAGCACTTTGGGAGGCTGAGGCGGGTGGATGGCCTGAGGTCAGGAGTTTTAGACAAGCCTGGATAACATGATGAAACCTCATCACTACTAAAAATACAAAAATTAGCCAGGCATAGTGGTGCATGCCTGTAGTCCCAGCTCCTCGGGAGGCTGAGGCAGGAGAATCGCTTCAACCTGGGAGGCAGAGGTTGCAGTGAGCCAAGATTGTGCCACTGCACTCCAGCCTGGGCAACAGAGTAAGACTCTGTCTCAAAAAAAAAAAAAAAAAAAAAAAGATTTTTTTGAATTTCAGGTTGAAGGTCCTTTTCTATTTTCTGGCTTTTTAAATAACAATGTTTTCTTTCATTATACTGTGATTAGAGTATTGCATGCAATATTTTTACTTGATTTTTACTTTTTACTATTGTTATAGCTTTTTCTGAATGTAACCAAGCCGGTATAGCTATTCTTTACATTCCAGTATTGATCAGTATTGTGACTGTGCCACAACTGATTCAGAAAAATGCGTATTTGCTATTATAAGGACATTCAATATATATCCATAAAATACACTTTATTGATTGTGTTGTTTAGATTTTCTCTATCCTTGCTTATGTTTTGTCAATGTGATCTGCCTTGTACTGGAATTAGTTTATTAATCTCTCCCATTATTAATGCCATCTCCTGTATTTTTTGCTTCATAAAGGTGGTTGCTATCTTATTTGGTGCATAAATATTTATAAGTCATATATTTGTATTCTAAATTATGACTTTTAGCACTAATATATATCCTTGTGTTGATAAGAAACCCACCTTAAATACAAATGAATGGTTAAGTTAAAATTAAAAGATGAACAAAGATATATCATGCAAACATTAACTAAAAGGAAACTGTATTAATTACAGGCAAAGTAGACTTCAGAATATCATTAGAGGGAAAAAGGGAAATTACATAATGATGGTTAATTCCTCAAGAAGACATAACAATTAGAAAATGTATATGCATCTAATAACAGAGCTTCAAAATACATGAGGCAAAAAGACTGATCAATTTGAAAGGAGAAATAGACAAATTCATACTTAGAGTGGAAGACTTTAATACGCCTCTTTGAGTTATTGATAAAACAAGATGGCAGAAAATCGGAAAGTATATAGATGACCTGAACAACACTATCAACCAACTTTACCTCACTGATATTAATAGAATGTTCTACCCAGCAGCAGCGGAATACACATTCTTTCCAAGTGCACATGGTAGGCCATATTCTGAACCATGAAATAACAGCTCAACACATTTGAAAGAATAGAAATAATCAAGTGTATTTTTGGACTGTAATGGTCTTAATATAGAAATCAATAACAAAAAGGTATCTGTAAAATACCCAGATGTTTGGAAAATAAACAACACATTCTAAATAACACATAGATCAAAGAGGCAATTGGAAGAAAAATTAAAAAGTCTTTTGAACTGAATACATTTTGATACTGAATATCAAAATCTGTGGGATGCAGTTAATGTAGCACGCAGAGGTAAATGTATATCATTAAATGTATACATCAGAAAAGAAGAAAGATCTAAAGTTAGTAACCTGATTCTACCTTAAATAACTAGAAAATAAAGAGCAAGTTAGATGCAAAGTTAAGAGAAGAAAGTAAGTAATAAAGATTAGAAGAAAGCTCTATTCAATTGAAAAAAATAAACACAATAGAGAAAATCAATTTGTATTCTTCAATACACAGCAGTGACCTTTACATTTTTTCTTTCACGCTTCCTCCTCTCAATTTTAGTTACGTTATTTCCACTTTATCACAATAGATGATTTTTGTGTGTGTATATGTCACCCTCACTCATACTTTTTGTCTTAGCTGTACTTTTATAGTTTTAATATGTCACCATATGTTCTTTTGCAGAAGTTTCACAGTCATAACTTGATTGGATGAAACTTATCCCCTAGTGTATTCCACAGAACAAGGTGATGAATATCAAATTCTTTAAATTATTGAATGTTGAAAACTGGTTTTCTAGTCTTGAAACTTGAAGGAGAGCCTGATTGTATTAATATGTACAATTATTGGTTTATACTTTATTTCATTGAGCATTTTATTTTCAAAATGCTGCTTCA
This sequence comes from Homo sapiens, assembly GCF_000001405.40. Lineage (NCBI taxonomy): Eukaryota > Metazoa > Chordata > Mammalia > Primates > Hominidae > Homo > Homo sapiens. The sequence goes on along the minus strand of NC_000023.11, from coordinate 148,478,947 downwards.
TTGCTGTTCTGCTTGTATGTTGATTATGAAAATTCTGTGCCAGTCCAATTGTTTTGTAAGTTAATCGATCGCTTTGCCTAGAGGCCTAGAAGATTTTACTTTTATTTTTTAAATGTAATCATGTTACCAGGTCATGTTTTAGAGTTGAAAATTCTGTTAATTTCCCTAAGTACTCATGGGTCAACTCAGGCATTTTTCTATTTCTGGGAAGATATTTGTTTCATAGTTTTAAATATTAGTCCTGTTTCAGTGTTTCTGCATTTTTTCTCCAGGGACTCCAATAATAGAAATATTATTCCTTCTTTACCTCTCTTCCATTTCCACTACCTTCCTTTTGACTGTTTTTTACTTATATTTTGTGGTCTTTTAATCTTTTTGCTTTTTTTTCTCTGCCCCTTATTGCATTTTTTTTTCAATGCCCCTTATTACATTTTCATTTCAACCCATTCCTTCTCCCTTGGATCCCTTGTAATTTATTCTTCTTTTATAAGATAATTTTGTATTTTTCTTCCATTTATTTGCAGAGTTTACTCATCTCTCTTACTTCTTCCAGTGTTTAGTTCATTTCTACTTTTAGTGTTTGACTTTCTGACTCAAGGTAGTTTTTTATAGCCTCACAAGCTTGTTTAAATTTATTTAATTCTATTTGGTGTGTTGACTTACTTCTTTATATGATTCATAGGTTTTTTTTCGGGGGGGGGGTTCCTCAGTTCATATATATGATATTTTGTTTCCTAATTTTCTGTCATAGCTTTGTTAACTTCAGTTTTCTTTTGTTCATTTTTATGGTACTGAGTTATTTTTATAAGACTGCAAATTAAATGCCATCTTCTTTTGTCAGTATAGAAAGGACCAGGTACTTTGGCTGTGATGTGGGAGTTGTAAGTGCTTAGATGATGTGGTTCTCTTTTGTCTTGCAGGGCCCTAAATTTCCCCCCTTTGCCTTTGTATTCCTTTTGACTACCCAATTGTCAAATATTTCTTTTCCTTTCCTTCTTACTTTTCTTCTCCCTGCCAAAGCTATGTGTTTTGAAGCCAATTCCTTCATATCATGCCTGCTCTTTTACATCATGCCTGCCTGCTTAAAGAGTGCTTGACTCCTTTAAACCATATGTGCCCCTTTTAATTATGTATAATTTTAAGTTCTCTCCTTATAGTTCATGTTCTCATCTTCCTAGAAACTTTTTATTTTAGTATTTTCGGGATTAAAGTGGACTTACTCTTTCTGGAAGTAGATTTAAAATAAACTTAGCACATTTTCCTAGCTTCCCTCATTTGTCTTCCCTGAGGTTTTTTGTTTGTTTGTTTGCTTACAGTCTGCCTTTGCTGGCCACAGAGCCTTACAGTAGGACAGACATGGGCCAGGACCACGAGAGATGAAACTCTGGGAATAGGTGAATTTTATCTTTTCACTCACAGTTACTTTGAAGTTTGGGCATTCTCTGTCCTTAAGCTATGATAAGGGCATGGTTTTTATATTGATTCATTTCTTCCTTTTTTTGTCATTTTTGTAGGCTACATTAGCAGGCAGGTTGCAGGCTGCTGTACTACAATTACTACTTGATGTCTGTTTATGTTTTTTTTTAGAGATTTAAAGATGCCTTTTATCCCAACATTGTAGATACTAAGTTTACTCCCTTTTATGGAGGGTAGAAAATAACAAAAATATTGCTATAATTCAATAGAGATTAAAAGATAAGAATTTAAATTTAAGGTGAGAGGACTTCCCATTAGCAATGGACAATTCAAAATTTTTGATATGAAAATGATGTCTAATAAAAAAATTCTACTATCAGGCTCCTCCTTCGTATATACTTTATTAATCTTTTGCTTTTGCAATCTAAGTGATGGATGACATGGGCATTTCTAAGGAAAAATGTTATTCACCTTTCTAAAACTGCCAATATTCCCTATGAATACTTCTTATATTCATTAGGAAAGCTTTAGGTTGAAAGTAACTAATACCGGATGATGAGTATAGTTTGAATCTATGAGGATATTCACTGTTAAGTATGAAGTAAGGCAGTCTCATTGTTGAGCAAACAGCTTAACAGTGTCCTCAAGAATTCAGGCTCTTTCCATCTCTTTATTCTGCTACACTCAAAGTTTTGGCCTTTGGGTTTGTGTGTGTGTGTGTGTGTGTGTGTGTGTGTGTGTGTGTGTGTGTGTGTGTGGTGAGGTTTTATCACCTTATGGTCACATGAAGGCTGCTATAGCTTCAGACATTATGTCTTCAATTTAGCAGGAAGAATGAAAAGGAGAAGACACACGTGCTTTGTTATCAGGAAACCACAATAGTTTCCCCAAGTCTCAAACAAATTCTGGCCAAACCTAGCTATAAGTACCTAGCCTTCCAACATCTGTAGGAAGCAGGGAGAAGAGAGTTGGAAATGGCTGTTGAATTTTCCAGCCAACAATGTGTATGCCAATGGTTCCAAAATAGTTAAGTGGTGCCACTAGCAGTTCTAGGAAAGACATCCAAGAATACTTGTAGTCCAAATGCTTTCTAAATGACAATAATTGTCATTGACACTTTAAGACTACTTACTATAACCAAAATATGGAGTTCAAAGTTTTTCTCATTCTGACCATTCTGTTGTACTTACACCCTCTGGCTTAAGGAAGGGGTACAAAGCCCTACTTGTGTATTTGGAAAGATGGTGTGGGGTACTCAGCGGAAGTGTAGGGAGTATGCAAGCAAGGCACAGCCTACGTAACTATAGTGCTCTGTTGCTTGCTTAGTGCTTAGAGATGGTGACATTGTCTGACTGAGTGATTAAGAGACTGATAATGTCACTGCAACATTGTGTCACTGAAAAAAAAAATGAGTACAGATAATGACCTGGTTCCTTTTTGAGTGCCACCACTTGAGAATACCCACAGTGCCCTCTGCATATTCTAGTCAATCAATTGTAAAGACTGTTGATGGTTTATAGGCTTTCAAAATTAGGGAATTAGGATTAGGGAACAACAAGGCATCGAAATAGAATTTAGAAGCTCAAAGAAATCAAACCACTTTTCATAAATTCCTAATGGAAATACTGGGTATGGAAACTGATTTGGGCATAACCATTAACATATAACACTTACGAATGCTTCCACTATTCTTTCTGATATGATTCATCTCTGTATTTATCTGTTTTGACTTCAGTGTAAACTATACCAGCTGGCATCCTAGTGGAATAGGAACATTATACAGTTATTAAACAACAACAAATTATATATTACACATGACATAAAGATAAACAACCAATAGTTAATTCTTATAGGAGAATAGCAAAACTTTTTCTCAATACTGAGAATGAAGTACAAAGCTCTGGCATTTTATTGTTTGCAAAACTTTGATTTGATTTTATCCTCCCAAGAAAACAGAAGACGTATTATTGTTCTTACTTTGCAGATGAGAATCATAGGCTCAGAGAGGGGAAATGACTTGGCCAAAGTCTCCCTGTTTCTTAGTGAAAGTAGTAGGACTTGACCTTAGGTTTCCTGAGTCTTCATCCATTGCTCTTTCCACCTTTGCAGGCTGTTTCCTGGACCACTTTGTGGTTCAGGTTTCTGAAATAATATATTTCTGACTAGTTTATACCCCTGTTGTGCTAAATAGAACTGAAGTCTCAAATCTGGGTCCACCTGGGACCACTATTTCAGATGAATTAACTGATTTCAAATGTCTTGGTCCACTGTTTCTGTCAATAAATAAGGCATTTGCCATTTTTTGTTGTTTTTGTTGTTGTTGTTGTTGTAGTTGAGATGGAGTCTTGCTCTGTCGCCCAGGCTGGAGTGCAGTGGCGCGATCTCGGCTCACTGCAAGCTCTGCCTCCTGGGTTCACACCATTCTCCTGCCTCAGCCTCCCGAGTAGCTGGGACTATAGGCGCCCACCACCACGCCAGGCTAATTTTTTTGTATTTTTAGTAGAGACAGGGTTTCACTGTGTTAGCCAGGATGGTCTCGATCTCCTGACCTCGTGATGCACCCGCATCGGCCTCCCAAAGTGCTGGGATTACAGGAGTGAGCCATGGCATTTGCCATTCTTATGCTAGTTTCCTTTTTTTTTTCTAGCTGGACATAAGCTAGAGAGTTAACTTGTATCATGATCAAAAGCAAGAGGTGATTTGCCAACAGCAAAATCCTAATGCTATTTATCTATAAAAGGAAGATAAACAGATAATGCAAAAAATAACCCAACCTTGATATTTCAGCCATGTAGCCATGTAAAGTCAAATAAAACCATGATAGAAAAAATAAAAAAGATTTCACTGTTCGATTTTCCTCTTTATTCTCCTTAATAATACAACAAATACTGTACTTTACTTAGAATGATTTTTAAATGAACTACTAAAATGACCCAGTCAAAAAGCAAGAATAAATTTGACCAAAGTTTAAAACCAATGTCAGTTTTCAAATTTCTGCAGGATAAACATGACCTTATTGCATTTTAAATCTGTATAATTTTACAAAATATGATGCTTAGTCTCCAAGAAAAATTCTTTTAAGACTTAATAAGTTACTTGGATAGTATATAGCATATTCTTATCTGTATTTTTCTCAAATACACAGATTCACTATTCTATTTTTAAAAAGTGTTTGAAAAGGGCATTTGAAGTTTTCACAGATAACTGAATAATGGTTTGCAATGTTCACCACGGTAAAAACGTAGTTTGCTTGGTTCGCTATGACTAATTATTCTGAGAGATACAAATATGTGCACTTATGCTGAAAAGCTCTCTTGTCCTGCCCTCTAGCATGCAACTTTTCATGAATTTTATGCAAATCTCTGTATTCAACAGCAATTTTTATTTGAAAAATAGAACAATGAGTAGCATAGAAAAAAATAAGAAAATTAAGGTCAACTTTTCTATACTCTGGTCTTTTATCTTCACGATCTTCACATTTATTTTTACTGTTCCAGCAAGATTGGCTTCTTATTTTCACTGTTTCAGCATCAGCAGGGTATTTTCTGTAACAGCTCCATATGGATGATGTACATGCTTCTTGGCTTATATCTACTCATATGTTCATGATTTAACACCAAATGGAAATTACAGCCAACTCTCAATGACCCATAAAAGAGAGGGGCATTGTAGTACAGATAACTCAAGAAGTCCAAAAACCCTAAGTCATTTGTTTGGCTTTGGATGTGTTCTCTATCTTAGCTTAGAATACTTTGTCTTTTAATTAAGCCTACTTTCCTAATTGTGTTTTATAAGTCAGTATTTTCAGCAAATGAAAATGTAAATAATTCCAGTCAATGGGGGAAGTTGATTTGGAGGAATGTTGCATGGAGTTGTGGGAAGCTGATAGAGGCATTAAAATTAATGCAAACAATTCACAAAAAAAATACAGTACATACAGATAATCAGGCATTGACTTTATTATACTATATTCAAAAGGTGAAAATTATGCCTGCTTAGTCCTGTGCATGCATACCTGGGATAGTCTTATCATCTATAGAAAATGCAAAATAACATTTCTCTGTGTATATTTACCCCTTGTTGCATTATTTTGACTATGATCATCTATTTCTAAAAATGACATACCCGACTAAGAAGTAAGGCGAAACCAAAAGCATCAAGAAAAATGTAATATTAGCATTAGGCAATGGAAGCATTCAAATCAGATACTGCTTAAAGGTAAGTCAGTAAAGATTTAAATAAGCTTAGCCAGAATTCCAAACATAGAAAGGAAATAAGATTCAATATTCTTTGCATAAGTAGGGGAGATTTTTACAAATAAAAGCACCTCATGTGTGCTTCTATGAAGTGTTTAAGTTCTGTGGCTTAGATAGTTGTGTAAAGATTCATGAAAATAAGGTAAATTTGACTCCAATATTGGCTCTCTACCAGGTGCCTTTTTATTATCAAAAAAAAAAAAAGAAAAAAACAATGTAGTCATGCCCTCCAATACTTGCACTGTACCTCCTATGGTTTATTTTAGCATGGTCTCTTATTATGAGGGTTGACATTGGACCTGATTTCTTTTGATTCTAAATCTGTGTATTAGCTTAATATTTCTTCTGTTCAATCCTAGATCTTTTAAATTAATTGGAGAGTTATCATTTTATGTGGTTTAATATGGAAAATTATCAGTAGAAGATAGATTCAAGAAGGCACAAGTTAAAGGTGAGATGGAGGTATGGCAAGGCTAAGGCGTTTGCCCTGGCTAGGAGGTTCATTTCAGCACATGGAATGGACCTGCTCAAGTTGTGGGCAGAGAAGGAGGTTCAGGAGAAGATATAAAGTGTGCTTTATATCATTTGATAGAGACCATCTTAGTCCTGCTTTATTGAGATCTAGACTTGCATAGTCCCTCCAAGCTCTTGAGAAGCAGAGTGCCAGAGTGGGAAGATCAGGCATGGCCTTTATATCCAGAGACCTGGTTGGAATTCTAGCTCTGTCACTTGCTAGGCTTGTGACCTTAGATAAATTGCTTAGTCTTCCTTAGCTTCACATTCCCCATCTATAAAGTGAGGACAATATTAACTAGTGCACAGTATAGTTGTGACTATTAAAAAAAAAAAAAAAAACTAAACATGAGTCCTTGGCGTGAATCTCAGGCCTTAAACACAAGTATGTAAAATTTGTGACTTCTTTTTTGATAAATCAATTTAATTCCTTTTTTAGTGGTCTCCACTTTGCTAGATGGAAGACATACCATCTCAGTCAGGTCAGGGGCTCTCTCTTTCCACTTACCTCTGGAGTTCCAGGGTCAAGTGTACTGGTCGTCAGCAGGCTCCATCTTCTCATGTTGGCACCCTGCCTTAGTATGTTTTGTTTTGTTACAACAGAATATCTGAGGCCGAGGAATTTATAAAGAACAGAAATGTATTCTCTCACAGTTATGGAGGCTTGGAAGTCAAAGGTCAAGGTGCTGACATCTGATCTGGTGAGGTCCTTCTTTCTGCATCTTCACATGGCAGAAGGCAGAAGAAGAGACAAAAAAGGAATGGAACTTGCCCTTGTATAACAGCATTAATCCCATACATGAGGGTGCAGCCATCAAAGACTAATAACCTCTTAATGGTCCTACCTCATAATACTGTTTCAATGACAATTAAATTTCAACATGAGTTTCGGAGGTGAAAAACATACAAACCATAGCACACCCACACAAGTTGTCACTGTTCTGACTCTCACTGTCCTCTGTGGGCCCTCTCCCCATTCTGGCTTTCTCAGTCCTGGACTCCATCTCTGGTGTATGGGAAACCATCCAGCTCCTCTTTCTTGCTGCTCTGGGACTGACAGAAGCTGAGAGGCTACCTCTGTATCTTCAACCTAGGGACATCCTCATCCATTTCAAATCTATAGCTGCTCAGCCATGTTGGGTTCAAGAGAGATGTCTTTGAGGCTCACTGCTGCCTAGTCCACTACCTGCAAAGTGTGGCACAAGTCACATCTGTTATTGAAACCCTAGAACCTGCCTACAGTTCCTGTAATCCAACCCTTCCCATGTTAGTCCATTTGTGTTGCTATAAAGGAATACCTGAGGCTGCCTAATTTATGAAGAAAAGAGGTTTATTTGGCTCATAGTTATACAGGCTGTACAGGAAGCATAGTGCCAGTGAGGTAGGTACTACTTTTGGCACTATTTTTGCAGGTGGAATAACGGAGGCACCGAGAAGTTAAGGGCCTTTCCCAAGGTCACATAGCTAGCATGTGGTGGAGTTGGGATTTTCACTCATACAGCCTGTCTGTGATGGTCACACTTTGATGATGATACTATATTGCCCCTCAGAGAGTATATACCAAGGGAGTGGGTGAGGAGGCTGATTCAGGCTGGTCGCATGCCTAGACATTCTAGATCTCAGCATGTGAAATTCACAAGCCATGAATTTGGCTCTCATTCCCTTTTCATTTCTGTTGTAGTATCCTTTCCCCGTGTCAATGAAAAGAACAGAATGAGAATGCAGTACAATATGTGTCCCTTTTGTTGGGGGGGGATAGCAGCTAATTCTTCATAATTGGTATTCTGCTGCACTTTTCAAGCACAGATAAGTTAGTTCCCAACTTCCTCTTCAAATTCTGTATCATGGAGTTTGCCCTCAGAACAAAAATTTGCTCCACATAAAACTTAGTTCTACACAAAATGTTTTAACATTAATATTCAATTTTTAATGAGAAGATTCTGCTTCCTTTATATGTTTGTATTTCAATTAAAGAAAACACTAAGCCTGCCCCCATAACTATACTTGACTATTCAGAAACCTTGGAAATCCTGGTGAAAGGCGGACAAGTTATAGCAAAGGCCTCTGTGCTGTCCTTTCTGAATCCAGCCAGTTTGGTAGATCACCACAGACACAAGCATAAGGCCCTGCACATAGTAGGCCCTCAAAAATAGTGGTTGATTGATTGTGAGATGCCCAAAAGGAAGAAGATGTCAAATGGGAAAATTGCTCTTGCCATATGCTTGACTGGATGGTCATGCATGGCTGAGCATGTTTCTCCTGCTCTCCATAGGTGTGCTCCACTGTCACTGTGCGACATTTGTGACCTCTGAGGGTTCAGAGTTCATGTCCTCCTCTTCAAAGGCTTGGGTTCTATGCCCTTCTCTTCTTAGAATAACCCCAGAAGGGCAATTAGGTTTTTAGAAAATGGTTTTCAATGGAGATGATGTTGCCTGCACATTATTCAGAGCAACTGAGTGGCTGGTAGGCAGTGACCCTGTATTTCACAGCTCTCTAGTTCAGTTATTTTGTAAGAATGCCATAGATGACTGATTAGTGTGTTCTCAGCTTCCAGATAAATTGACAATGGTAAAATATGGACATCTCAGAGAGTCCAGCCATTTTCTTGCAGCTTATGAGAAGTGATGACTTTTAGAGCTTCAAAGAGAAGTAAAATGCTACAACCAGCTAGAAATGCAGATACACACCGCTGCCAACTCCCCATTACAATTCTCTGTCTTTCAAATGGAGATTAAATGCAGTGCCAAAATGTGTCATCTGGTGTTGCATTTTTGTAATGTGGACAAATGTCGATAAAATTCATGTGGAGTCACAAAAATCTAACTATTTATGAATTAAAATTAAATGTAAGTTTTGCCATAGGTAGAAGCCTTAATTGCTAAGGCTAGATTCAGTGCCATTATCAAAACAGCAACACTTCCTTCCTGCAATCACCAGTTCAAAAGGAGAAAGGGGAAACTGCCCTCTCTGACAAGCTACTGTTCATACCAAGCTTTACACCTGTAATCTCAATGGGTGCCATATATCAGACCTGATAAAAGTGAATCAGATGATTTTGGGACTGCCTACTGTGTAGATAGTTGTTACATTTCAATCCATCTAACAAACCCATTCACAATTTTGGCAGGCACAAGCAACATATTTTGCCTTCAAAATGTGCTTGTGTCTCGCCATGCTCCCCTGGATCAATCTTTATTCTTTTTCATCCATATAACTTCCCTCGCAAGACCTTTAGACCCTTGCCAGGAAGCAGAGGAAACTAAAATCTTCCTCTATTCAAATGTTCCAAATTGGACTATCACTACTCTGGGTAGTATGACAATAACTGTTATATATTTCAAATTCTTGCTGATTGGCTATCTGATATTCATGATTTACATTCACATTTTAATATGAAATTCTTCCCCATATGCATGTGTTTACACTAATTTCAATGAAATTTTTAATTTATTTCACTGTCAATGGCTGCCTGTCCAGTGGATCTATACAGTTAGCACTGCCTCTTCACGGGAGAAATTTCATCCGATGAGTGAAGTAACAACTCTTGGAAAGTTGTTTACAGAAAACAGCTTTTCAGTAACATGAGAAGATTATGACTTGAAGCATATATGCCCAGCATTTTGCCTCAAGAATTTAGCCTTGCAGTTGACCATGGCAGATATAAATGGCCAATCCTTGGGGAACGATGGCAGAGAGAAACATGGTAAGCTCAAAAGCTTCATATATTTCATCATTAGTAATATATCAAATACTTATTGAAGATCTTGATTTCATCCCTTCTGGACTCCCTATGTTTATGACAGCCAATTCCAACATTTCATCAAGCTTCCAACTCTACAAACCCTCCTCAGTTGACAACCTCACACCTTAATTTACTGACACAAGTTTCCTCAGTTTTCTTCTCATTCATGCTAAAATTCCTCTCTACCTTATTCATTTTTTCTACTATCTCTCTTTTTATAATCCTCTTTCTTTCCAACTCCACTTCTTCATTGTCTACTTACTCCTGAACTTAGGGTTTATATTTTCAGCATGCTACTCAACATTCTCTTTTGCAAGCAACTATGATCCAACATGGTTGGATCCAACATGCTCTTCCTCATTGAACTATGACCTATTGTAATGTTGACATTTCCTTCTAGAAACTCTTTTTCCTTGGCTCAGGCAATCTTACAAGAAATATATGGTTTCTCCTCTTGCCTGAGGGCTCCTTGTTTTTCTTCACTGCTTCCTCTTCCAAGGCTTTGTCCTTCACTTTTTTTTTTTTTTTTCCTCTTTAGAAGCAAGGTTTCTAATCTTAGGAAGAAATGGAAAAGCTTCTGAGGGTTCCAGGAAACCTTGGTAAGTTTATGCCAAATTGTATTTGTGTGTACATCTGTTTATGCATTTGGGTAAAAGGGGCCATAATTTAATTGAATTTCAAAGAAGTCCAGGACCCTGCAGAAAATGTTAAGAACTTTTGCTCCAGACTTCCTTCCTGGGCAATTTTACCATCCTCCAGTGCTGAAATGATTGCCTTCCAAATCTCAGTCTTCCACCTGACCATCCTCTTAATCTTTAGCTTTTTAAGTATCTCTGATTCTTTATGTTTCCTCCTGGTATACAGTAGTACTACACATTAGTAAATATACTCTCTATGGAAGCCACAACAAGTGAAGCACTCATTTTACCAGCCCTACTTGCCGGGTACCCATATGGCAGCTCTGCACAAAAATTTTAAAGTGCACCTTTCAGGGAGGTCCAGTGCTATGGGTACATGGCTTAGTAACAGGATGGTAGTTTTGTGGGGTTTTTTGTTGTTGTTGTTGTTGACTTTTCAATATTGTATCTCCATCATGCCAAGCCTGCATTCAAGCTGATTTTGAAGCATCTTAGTCTGACTCTCAAGGACCTCCATGATCTGGTCTAAACCCTATGCTTCTAGCATAGTAACCCACTAATCCTCTCCAAAAAGCTTCCACTCTAGCCAGACTGGTCTGCTTATTGTTGCCCGGACAGACTATATGCATTCCTCTGCATATTTGCTCACCATATTTTACCTACCTAGAATCTCTGCCTCTCCAACATGTTAGACTGAGTGAGTCCTCTATACTTTCACATCTTAGTTCTAGCTCTACTTCTTCTAAGAAACATTTTATAATAACTCCAGTGCTTACTGACTTCACCTTCCTATAAGATCTTGTTGCCCTTATTGTCTGTATCACACTGTTGACTGTGAGCACTCTTCAGTCTTTGACTTCTAGTACAGTGCCCTAGGACCTTGGCATTCAAAATGTGGTCCATGGACCAACAGAATGGGCAGTACTTGGGAGCTAGCTAAAAATGAAGAATCTCATAACCCACCCCAGACCTACCAAAAAATACTCTGCATTTTAACAAGATCTTCAAGTGATTCTTACAAATGATAGAGTTCGAGAGGCAGTGCCCTATGTCATGCATTTGTAGTTGTTAAAATATCTTAGTTTCAGTCCCTGAATATACCTTATGTTTCATGACATTTTACTTTCTGATCATGCCTTCTCTGTTCCCTATTACTTTTCAGAACTCTATGTATTCTATGATGCTTTTCCTATATTCCCCCATTGAAAGTATATCTCTTCTTGAATTACTTTGATGCCTCTTTGCTCATTTTCTACATGTATCTTGTATTAAAGGGCATTTTGTGTGCAGAGGTATTAACTCCTTTGTTAGATTATAAGCTCTTTGAGGGTAGGAATGGGATTTTCTTCATCTCTGATCCTTGACAGATTCTGGCAGAGTTCCTGACACCCAGTAGTTAAAAATAATAAATGTTTGCTGAATGAATGAATGAATGAATGAATGAATGGCTAATTTCATAATAAATTCATTTGGATTTTAGAATTTACTTGGGAAAAATGTGATAGATAATTGACCATGGGTCGTGCTGTTCGTAATTGCAATGTTTTTATTTTTCAAGCCAAATATTAATTATCTAACCCAGTCATGCTGTTTCTTAATGACTTTTAAACCTGTACCACTATGAATACAAGCCTGCATGAATTTTTAACAGTCTCCAAGTAGTTCATAATTAAAGACCAAGTGATTCAACTCACTGTCGCAATCAATGCCTTTGTTTATCGCTTAGTTTTCATCTCTGTATAGATAACCAAGAAAAAAAAGCTAACAAACCACAGAAAACAAAATCGGATGATAAAGAAGTATGAAAAAGTATCTCACCACCCATTCTGTGTCTGAATGACTAGTAATGAAAGGGAAAAGTGTCAGTAGCCATTCAAGTTAATCAATATACTGACTCATCTACTCAACAAATTCTAGATGAATCAGAGGTCTTTGTGTTTCAAAGTTTATGACTCATATCTCTTAAACTCTGTGGACCTAATCACAGAAACTAAACAGGGGAGAAAACGAAATGATCCAAATCCAATCTTTGAGCAGTGCAAGAAAAAAAGAAACTTTCTGAATTAGAAGTCATCTTCTTCTAGAGGCTTAACAGTTTCAGATGGATTTCTCCAGTTATCTAAGAGAGATCAGTCTGTATCCAGTTTCTCCTTCTGTCACAAAACGCAACAGTTTCTTTTTGAGATCAAAATGATGTTGCCTTATATTAGAAAGTGATTGTAGTTATTAAGGTGTTTTGAAAGTCTTTTGTTTACTGACTATGACCATTTTGGAAGATGATTTATCTGTTAGATTGACTTTTGAGAAAAGAACTGGAATACCTGGTTATACAAACATGAAAGTCCCCTAAAATTATATCCCACAGGTCTACTGCTCTAGATTCTTCATTGTGAATACACTCAAATCTCACTAAGTAGGCTAGTAAAGAGAAAAGTCAATATAGCAGAAAGTATTTCTCTTTCTTTCTTCTTTCTTTTTTTTAGAGACAAGTAAATATTTGTTTTCGTGCCTTACTTCCTATGTGTATTTCAAGTCTTTTTCAAAACGAGGCCCCAGGAATCTCCAGATTCAATTATGTCCCTGGGCTTGGTCGACTGCTGCAGGAGTCTTAGGAAGCCTTATACAAATGCTAGAGCTACTCATTTACCAACATTAAACCTGGGATAGCAGATGCAACAAAGCAGGACTCCTTCCCCCATGGAATGTGCTGATTTCAGATGAGGCGGCAGCCACAATATAGAAAACACTGGGAATTTTTCCTTGGAACTGGGCTGTGATGAGAGGTGCTTGCCATGAACATAAGCTACTGTCTTTTCTTTGACCCTTCCTTTCCAGTTTTTGAAGACAAAGCAGGAAATAATCTTCTCTGAAGATACTTGATAAAAATTCCCAGAAAACAAAAACACATGCTTCCACTTCATTGATAAAAATTTACTGCAGTTTGGCACCTGGGTCTAGTTCAGCTGGCAGATGAGCTGATTGATGCATTCACCCTGATAGCCAGGTGTGCCCATCTCCTTGAGGAAGCCCACTCTATTTTTGGTAGCATGATGGGCCACTGAGAGGTGGAAAGGGCACAAGAACCATAAGATCTCCTGGAAATGCTTCCCTGGGAAGGCAATTTCATAAATGAGGTCTTTCAAGAAAATGACGCCAACCTTCCCCAGGTGCTCCTCAATCACTGTGTTGTCTGTCAGAGGGATGGTCTTATTCTTGACCTTGGATTGTCCACGTTTCAAAATGAGTTCCCAGACAGACTTCAGATTTGGAAATCCCCAGGTCACACAACGTTCCACTATACGCAGCATTTTTAGGTTCTGGGGGGTGACTTTTACAAAGACACCACTAAAAATTTTCTTTAGGCGAAGTCTTGCAATGGTCTGCACCAGTAAACTCACGCCATCAATCCTTTCGATGCATACAGCAAAGGCCAAGGAATGTTTATCTGGCAATTCCAAGTCATGAGGTTTCACTTCTAGTTGTCTGAGATGCACCTTGTCACATTTCTGTGACTTGACAATCATGTAGGAATGACTCCAGTTGCTTAAACCTGAGCCCTTTTCCTTTCCTCTGCTCCTTCTTTGCCAAAAGTGCCTGCTTTGCCTGGGTGGCTTTGAGGGCTTGATAAACCTTCCTCTTTTTCAGGAGATTTTCTGGAACCAAAGGGATTTTTCTTTGCTCTTGCTCTGCCATCTTTCTAGTGTTGCAGCTACTTGCAGAAAGTATTTCTTAAGAGCTGGGCTTCATAAGCTATAGAGAGGCAGTAGAGAATAGTGGCTAAAAACATGGTGTTTGAAATTGAGCTGATATGGATGCAAATCCCAACTTGCTTTCTTAATGTTTGTGTAACACTATGTAAGTGCCTCACCTATGAAGTGGGGATACTAATAATGCCTGCAGGATTAAGTGAGAAAAATGTAAACAGTGCTAACCAAAGTACCTAGCACTTAGTGAGTTCTCTGTAAGATTTAATAATTGTTATAGTAGCTGTTAGTAAGGCTGTATCACTGCCTTTCCCATGCTCACTTCCTGGTCAGCAGTCTGTCTCATCTATGGATTCTTCCACCATCCATGTCCTTTGGAGGCTCATTTGACTGTCCCCTTCTCTAGGCAACTGCCCTTTTTTTCCTCTTCACTATTCACACTGGGCTTGGACCCACAGCTGGCCTTGCGCTTGCTTCTTTAGATACTCTCAGTGGCCACCACCCTCTGCCTAGCTCATGCTGATCTTGCTGGTAAGTGATCTTCAATCTAATTCTAATTTCCCTCTAGACCTCCACCAAACTTCCCTAACCACATCTCTAACCAAGGCCTTTAACCTGAGGAAGATGAAGGAACATGCATGAACAGAAGCAGAAGGAGGGCCTAGTACAAGTCTTCCCAAAGTGTATTCTGCAGAATGCTAATGCTGCAAGTTCTTATACAAGAAAAGATAGCTTTTTTTCTGGTAAAATAATTTTGGAAAATTTTGCATACTATTTGTTCCTGCAGATTCGCAGTGCACCTTAGTATTTAGTGACTTGGACAAACAGTGGCACAGAAAATTAACTCTTTTAGCTCAAAGACATTTTTGGAAATACCAGCATAGCTCACGTTCCATGCCCGTTGTAGTCACTTAGCAGCTACTATAGCAAACATTGGCAGTCCCCGTGGCAAATAGAAAAGAGAACTCTGGAGGGTATGATATTGACAATTAATTGCTCTTCCCAGAAGTGGTACATGTTACTGCCACTAACCACTCATTGTTTTCAGTCATCTGGCTCCACAAAACCATAAAGAAGCCAGGAAATGCCATCTTAGCATCTGTATAGGAGGAGGAGAAGTAGAAACATGTGGTGAACAGTATTAATGACTGCTACACTGAACCTCAATATTCATATCTGTAAAATGGGAGAAAAATAGCCTTTTATGAAGATTAAGTGAAATACAAAAATAAAATTTTTTATAAAGTGAGAAGTGCTATGCACAGGTAAAGGATCATTACCCAGTTAATTCATGGGATTTCTGCTTTGTGAGATCAGGATCAGAACATGAGCCACAAATGAACTGCATGGAACTGTGGGTAGCTGGGATGGTGACAAGTATAAAAGGACAAAGAAGGACGGGGACCTAATAAGACAAAGTTATGGATAATGGCCAAACAAATTGCAGTGATAAGAATTATCTTTTAAAAAAATGAAGAAGAAATTTTCTAGACAAAATAACCTTCTGTCCACCGTGTCCAAAAGATCACATATTGAAAATGAGTATATCTGAGTTAATGATGTTTTACCATAATTGCTCATTGAATTAAACCACAAAGGAAATCCTGTTTTTATTCAGAAATATGATCTTCATAGACAATTTCTCCTCAGGCAGACTCTAGATGCTGTTTTCATTTGCAAAAATATATTAGCTGTCATCTATCCTTCTTTTTTTCCCCACATAGAAATTATACAACAAAAGCTTTTCAAGAGGGAATACATTTGTACCACCTAATTCTTAACACTTTAGAGCAGATTTCAATAGTCTGGATTCAGGAAATGCTATGGTCCAATTCCATTTGTCATCATTTATTCCTCCCCTAACAAACATGGTCTGCATCTACTTGAAAATGACATGTATTTAAGTTGTAATTCATACTAAAAGTACTGATTATGCTATATTATAGATGCATCAGAAGCAAGCAAAATAGATTTTCACTAGAAATTTGGAAAATCCTGCTTATAATCATGTTCTTTGTATTAACATGTCTACGTCAAGTTTTTTGTTTGTTTAATGATGCCTTAAATTTTCTAATTGAAAAGGATACTCCTGATGTCATTGGGCCATTAGGGGGCTATCAGATGCCTACATGTACAGTATCACCGAGTGTAAATCTAGAAGGCCCTTAGCCACGCTCATTAACAATCACAGGCCAGGGCCCCAAACAATTTTAAGGACAGTGGGCCTGGGGTGGGAATGGGTATAACAAGGTGGGGGAGAAACAAAGATGGAAAGGACACGAGTAAAGTCTAGCAAGTTCTCACTTAACATTTTCAATAGGTTCTTGGAAATTGACTTCAAGTGAAATGATGTATAACAAAACAAATTTTTAAAATCAACATTATCAGAAAACGGTGTTGAAGGAAATTATGTTACTTGAAAATCTGCTGTGTGTCATTTCACTTAAAGTTAGTTTCCAACAACTGATCAATGATGTTAAGTGAGGACTTACTGTTGTGAGTCTTAGGGAAGGCTTAGTGTCAATAGCAGTATAAAGCTTCCCAACTCAAGATGTGAAAAGTGACAAACAAGCACTATATATGAACATCAAGGGAGACCTCATGGAGTAGTTTGTAGATAGTTGTTTCTAAGTACCAAACTCCACAGTAACACAAGTTGTCTAGTAGCAAGGTTATGGGTACCATGAAGGTTAGTGACCACAAATTCAGTCCCCCAAAAAGTTGGAATGCAATTATGTCTCAGTATAAAGCTCAAGAATATCCACAGGAAAATAAAAATATACAATATCCTACAAGCTAAAAAAAAAAAAAAAAGTCTGGCATCCCATCAAAAATTATCAGACATCCAAAGAAGAAGAAAAATACCACCTATAATAAAGAGAAACTTCAATCAATTGAAACTGACCCAGAATTAACACAGATGATAGAACTAGTAGGTAAAAATATTAAAAATATATTCCATATGCTCAAGAAGCCAGAGGAAAGACTGAACATAGTAAAGATGGAAAATGCAAAAAGATTCAAATTGAAATTCAATAGATGAAAATGATGATGACTAAAATAAAATGTAACCTGGATTTTGGATTAACAGCAGATTAGGCATTGCATGAGAAAAAATTAATAAATTTGTTAGATATATAAATAGGAAGTGTCCAAAATGAAACCCAGAGACAAAGGAATTAAAAATAAACAAATAAAATAAGCAGTGTCAGTGAGCTGTGGGACAACTTCAAGTGCCCTAATACATACGTAACTGAAGCCCCCAAAAAAGAAGAAAGAGAGGGAAGAAAAACTATTTGATAAATTAATAGCCAATTAATTTTCAATTGTGATAAAATGTGTAAACCCACAGATCAAAGAAAGAGGCTATTTATCATCCAGGTGAGAGTAGATTGTGGTTTAAATTGGGGTAGTTAGCAGTGGAGTTGGTTAGAAATGGTCAGATTCTACACATAA
Source organism: Homo sapiens (assembly GCF_000001405.40). Lineage (NCBI taxonomy): Eukaryota > Metazoa > Chordata > Mammalia > Primates > Hominidae > Homo > Homo sapiens. Next base: position 148,461,222 of record NC_000023.11, on the reverse strand, counting down.
CTTGGAGGGTAAAGCCCATAAGATTTCCTAATGGTTTGGATGTGGAGTGTGAAAGGCTTCAAGGATCACTCCAAGACATTTGGCTAGAGAAAATGGAAGGCTGAAATATGACAAATGATTTTCACTTGAAAGGGACCCAGTCAGAATAGGAACCATCGGCTCAGACCCAAGCCAACAATTTCTCAACTTTATTATTTAGAAATTTGCTGTGTTAGTTTTTACTAACAGCCTTTGGTATCCAGAGCAACAATAAATAATTAAGATGAAAATTACTCATGTTGTCCTTCCAGGGTTCTTGAATGGGAATCTCTAGGACCTCTTCATTTAACCCAGTTCCCAGCCTACTTTTAGATAGCATGGATTCTCATCAGAGATAGAGTTATCTAAGCGTCCGAATGTTTTGGTTTGCCCTTTCATATTTATAACTCCTTTCTTAGAAACAGAGAGAACAAAATGTTGTGTACATTTCAACTGACAGCAGCTTACCAGAATGGCAGTGTCCAGGGTTTCTTTTACTTGTCCCCATGGGCTGTGGCAGAATGGTTTCCTAACATTATTTACAGCCCTGGAACATTTTATACTTTCAGGTCTTGCCTGAATGTATCCAGGAACTCATGTGTCACCTGTGAGACAAGCAGGAACTGAGAAATGGCAGGGGTGATTTCTTTTTCAGATGAATTAACTTCATAAATAGGGTTCAGGTATGACAGAGAGTAGAAAAATTAAGAATCAGGATATGTAATCAGCAATATACTTATAAAAGGATAACATGATGGCTATATTTTTTATCATTAAAAGAAAGTAAGAAAAATAGTAACACTGATTTTTTTCACTAATTAAATGAAAAGCAACTTCTAGCAGAAAAAGGCATAAATTTGCTATTTATAAACCTCCCTACTCCATTGGATTCAGAGCCCGTGCTTTGGGAAGTCTTCCGGAAATTCAGTATTAAACCCCCAGAAGGGTGAGGTTCCAGAGAACTGTTTAGGGTATTCTACTTTATACCTCACATGGATTGAACTGTGGTGAGAGGCCAGCATAGCTGAGTCTCACAAACATGAATATAAGATATTTTTTGATTCAAGAAATTTCCTGAAGTCCCGTAAGGCACTGTGCCAGAAGCTGTACACGTGTTCAGGAGAAGGATGGGGGAGGGAATAAAGGGATTTTGAAAGACAGAGAAAAGATTGATCAGAATTCTCACCTTACAGAGACTGACACGCTTATGGAGAAGATAGGCATACAACTATATTATAGGACAAACTGATTTGTCCCTGAGGATCCTCATAGGATATAGTCATGGTCTCCCAGGGTGTTTCAGCTCACTGAACATTTGCTCAGAAGTCTATAAGTCAGGCTTCACATTTTGACTTTTTTGAATGGGCAACGGGCACCAGAGGTCTATCTATGCCTGGACATTTCCACTGCCTGACCTTGTCAGAATTGCCCAAATTGGCTCTGTGGAGGCCAGTTAACCATGTAACCAAGAAGAGGCTAGTTAGAAAACAGACATGGATCGACTGCTTTAAGTGAAGGAAATCATGTGGACTCCCACCAAAACCAAAATGCAGACTGAAGTAAAACTTTTCTTAGGTCTGAAAAAGTTTCATAACCATCCTTGGTGTCTCTCATTTTCACGCTCTGTTTGCATGCTTCACGGCTTTCTAGTTCTACTAAAAGCAGAAGTGCCACAATATTTTAATGACGTTTATTCTAATGGCACTGAAAGGCCAGGTGTTAACAGTCAACAACATGTCAGGAAGAGGATGCAGACTTTCCTAAGAGACTGGAGCCTTCCTTTGAGGAGCAGCCATGTGACTGGGCTATGGCCTTCAGTTTGCCATCCTTTACACTATGCTTTGGATCTATGGGGCAGACCCATCCAAGGTCTAAAGCACTGTTAATAAGGACACATTGATTTTCAGTTTGTAAATCAGGAAAACTAAAATGTGCAGATATGGTCTGTTCCTAGCAGAGCCACAAGCAACAACACTCTTAGTCCCTCATTGATTAACAAAATAGGGGAGCTTGTTTTTTAAGGGCAGGCCACTATTACTTTACCTGATCTCCTATGGAAGCTGTTGTGTTCACTCATTAAACGATCACATATTTCTCCAAAATTAATTTGAGAATAGGGTTGTTAGGTCAGGAGCTACAATTGTTCTGTAAAACCACCGGAATTCTAGCCCAATTGTTAATCATCATTAATAATTAACTTCATCCTCCCAGCCTCAGATAGAAAGTTGAGGATATAAGAAAGGATATAAGGAAGTTATTGGCAGGTTATCTCAAAGTTGGGAAATTTAACTTTTAGCTTATATTTATCAGCGGTGGGCAGTGGGAACAGAAGTGAGGGATGAAGTTTCCAGAGGAGAAAGAGTTTGGCACATTCAAGGAACCACAAGCATCACACTCTGGCTGGACCACATTGTAGGGGGTGGGCGGGGGGCAGTGCTGCTGGACAGCAGCTGAGGCAGAAGATGGACAGCAGCTGAGGCAGAAGATATACATCAGACCCAGATCACAAAGGGCCTTATAGCCCACATGAGACATAATGGACTTTTCCCAAGAGCAGAGGGAGCACTGGCAGGTTTTAAATAGCAGATAGAAGAGTTGCAAGTTGCACAGTGGTGGTTTTTGTTGTTGTTGTTTTTGCTGTGGTAAGGGGGATGGCTTGCAGGTGGCATGGCTAAAGCCAGGAAGGTCAGGTTGTAACAGTGTAGGGCAATTATGATGGAAGCCTGAACAGGCACATCGAGTGTGGGGATGTGTTCATTCACCTAACAGATAGCACTTGTCCATCATACACCAGGCACTGGTCTTGATCCTGGGCAACACTGGTACACAAGGGAGAAAGTGTCACTATGTGCCTTCTGGTGGGGGAGGAGAGAACTAGATGATGATGCCTTTTCCTAGACTTTTTTCCTATGCCTTGGGTTTGAGACTCGTGTGCAATATAACCTCTCCCACTGCGGTGTTAGCAATTTGAGAGTAGGAGCCACACCTTATTTGTTTTGACAGCCCTTGGTACTAGCTAGAATACTTGCATGAACTTAGTATGTGCTCAATATGTGTTAGCTGTGAGATTGCACATCATGCTATTATGAGAATTAATGAAATTATCTCCATAATAGACCAGAAAATAAGTTCCTTATAAAAAGCACTGTGCAAACCCAAGTCATTTTTGTATTGTTCCTCCATTCTAACCTTACACAGTTCAATAATTCATATAGAAAAAGGGGAATTTTAATCCTCTATAAATCTTTTTCTGTTAAAAGTGCTCAAAGCAGCCTGTTCTTCCCTCTTTTATTGCTTGTCAGTATTGTAATTTTACTTGCATTTGTATTTATTTGAGTAACAATTCTTTTCCCCTCAAAGACTTTGCGTTCCTTTGAAACACGGATAATATCTGGTTTTGTTCAACATTTCATTCCCAGCAGCCAACATGGAGCCTAGCACATACTCAATAAATATTTACAAAATGAATAAATAAACAAATAGAGGGATGAAGCGTTGTAGGAATGAGCAATTAATTTCAACTGAAGAAGATGTGCAGAAACTTCCTGGGCATTTGAGCTGGGCCTTGAAGAGGAGGAAGTTCTTCCAAAGTGCGGTGGTGGTATAGGTGGGAGGAGGGGCGGGGACCTTCTTGGAAGAAAGACAAGCACAGGCAAAGGTCCCCAAGGGCAAAACTACACCGGAGGTTCAGGGAACAGTGAGTGGTTTGCTGTGGTTGGCACACAGGATGTGTGCAGGCTGGTGGTGGACAATGAAACTGGAGAAGTGGAGACCAAGTGGTTGGAGGGACATGAAAGAAACAATAGCAACTTTCATTTACAGACAGCATAGTAGGGAGGCTCTCAACATGCATAATCTCTTGTCCTCACAATACCCTGTAATAATGGTTCTGTAAGTGTAGTCAAGTGCCCAGTAACATCAGCATCACCTGGGAACTTGCTAGAAATGCAGATTCTTAAGTCCATCCCAGACCTAAAGAATCAGAAGCTCTGGTGGTGGGTCTCAGCACTTTGTGTTTTAACAAGCTCTCCAGGTGATTCTAATACATACTAAATAGTGAGAACCACTGCCCTGTAAGGCGAGAATTATTGTCTATATTTTACAGGTATAGAAACTAAACTCAGAGGTGCAGTAACTTGCTTAAGGTCATATAGATAGTTAATTTTCAAGTTGTTTATCTAACCCCAAAACCCCTGAGTTTCTTCCAACATCACGCTGCCTTGCTCCTGGCAGGGAATATTTTTCTGAAGACATTGGTGAGTCATGCAACACTTTTAATGAGGGAAATAACTCGATCCCATTTTTATCTTTATAAATATCATTGTGGCAATATAAAGGGAGTACTGGAGGAGAGCTCTCAGGTGAGGAAATCAGTTAGGAGGCTGACAATATAGACCAGGCACAAGTTGATGAAAACCAAATGATCACCATTTCATATCTGAGAAAACTGAGGCACAGTATATTTTTGTTGCCCCTTTTATTCTTAAATAGTTGAAGGAAAGTGTCTCCTGAAACAAATCAGAAATGGTTATTCTGAATTATGTGTTATATATCTCCAGTGTTAAAACTTACAAAACCTTTGCCAAGGTGGGGTAGGATTGAAGTTCTTGACAAGAAGAGAGAAACCTCTGAGTATTCCTGACAACAAGAAGAGAGAATCCTCTGAGGTCACGCAGGAAACAAATATGTGAATACATCTTGCATCTAGTCTGAGGGCATGGTGCACACAAAGCCTACCTGGTGGACTCAGGTTTTCAACTCACCTGACCTCTAAATGCTGGTGCTCTTCAGTCTGGTACCTGCTTTTCTCATCTCTCTCCTTTTGATTTGAACCTCAAGTGTATTGGGTTTTATTAGTTCTCAAATCATGGCCCTTTAATTGGACAGCACAAGGCCCTTCTCTTGTTTTATTTATATATCTGTTCCCTCTCATCGACAACTCCCAATCCCATTTCCCTTTGGCCTCATGGATAACCATTCTCATATAATCAATGTATATCCTTTTGTTTGTAGCTGTTCTTATGAAACAGAGAGTCATTTCATGTGCATGTTTTTCTCCAGTTTCACTGAGGTATAATTGCCAAATAAAAAATTATATATATTTACAGTGTATAACATATTTGGTATATGTATACATTGTGAAATGATTACCACAATCAAGTTGATTAGCATATCCATCATTTCACATAGTTACCTGTATGCATATATTTTACCTTACATAAATGGCATTGCATAATATGTGGCAGGCTTTTTTTTTACTGAGCACTAGTTAGATCCCTTTGGTCCACTACTGAGCATGGCATAGTACTCACGCCACATCCTGCCCATCCTCTCCTTCAGTTGGAGATGCACAAATTATCTCCAACTCACCACCACTTTTTGATTGTCAAAATTTCCATGAACATCCTTGCTTATGTCCCCCATTTGGCCCATGTGAATATTCCTTTGAGCTATAATCCCAGGAACTGGATTACGAGGTCATGGAGTGGGTGTTTAATTTGGCTGAGTACTACCAGGTTGCCCACTAGAATGGCTGCTCCAGTCTCCACTTGCCAACAACAGTACATGAGGGCTCCTTGATGCCACATCCCCACCAAAATTTGGCATTTTTCACTTTTCTGAGTCTTCTTGTCCATTGGATGATCTCATTCTTGTTTTAATTTATATTTCCTAGTTAACTAGTGAGTTTGAGTGTCTCTTCAAAACAAAATTTAAGCTTTTGGTTTCTCTTTCTTCTCTATCCATATTCTGTTCTCAGGAATTTTAAATTAGCCTACATCTAGGCTGATGACTACCAATGTTATATTTCCAGCCCTGGCCCTTCCCTGAATTTTATGCTCACATGTCAAAATATACTCTTGCATTTCTCATAGAACATGTCAATTATAACATATCTAATTTAGAGCTTTTAGGTCCTCAGCACATCTACCACCGATGTTATATGCCTCATCTTTCTCATACCAATAAAGAGCACCATCATCCACTCAGTTGCATAAATCAGAAATCTAGGAGTTATCACTGATTACTTTTGGTCTTTTATGCCACCACATCCAAACTATCAGCAACCTTGGATAGATAGCTCTACTTCAAAAACATATCCTGAATCCATCTACTTCTCTTTATCTTTGCTTTACCCCACCCCACCCTAGAATATACTATGACATTTCACTGAGTTTATGCATTTCACAATATGAATTTCATCTGTTCATTTAAGTATTTATTGCCCGTATCTCCCATTAGATTGTCAGTTCCAAGAGGGCAATAACCATGCCTCTTTTCGTTTCCATTGTGTCCCCAGGACCCTGAACAGTGCCTGGTATTCATTAAATATTGGCTTAATAAGTGGTTTCTTTCATTTTCACCCTTCTCTGTTGGAAGCTGAGCAGCCAAACACCAATAAAAAGCTAGAGGTTCCCCTGACCACTTGCTCTAGAATGGGAAGATACAGACCACACATAAGAATTGCTCAATTAAAAGTCTTAACACCTATGGCATTGTTAAACTCTATTGAGATGAAAATTATTTCTTAACACTTTTTAGCCTTTGCCTAGCATAGCATCTAGTATGTAAAAATGAACAATAAATACCACTGGAATTAATACACATGTTTAATATTTTGAGTATGTGGGAAACAGCTTCTGTGTGTGTACATCACTTTGAATGTACACATAACTTCCTTTTTCATTGGTGGAATTGTTGCCGACACCACTACTAACGTTCATTTAAGGTATTATGATACAGCTCAAATTATGAAAGTTTATGGAAGATGACACCCTGAAGACATCTAGGTTCTGGAATTAGTGGAGAATTGCCGAAAATTGGACAATAGAAATGGTTAAATAAATGATCGGCTGGGGCGGCCACTGAGCTCAGTTTTTGTTAGGCATATCTGCTTTGCATCTAAGGAAGAACTGATTCTTCAAACTAGAGAGAGCCATTCAGAAAGAGGAGACAGACTTCTCTGCGTGATTAAGGAAGATGGGATGAAGTGAAGACACTGAGAACCAAGATGGAATTCACCACAGTGGCCGCAGAGGTACTAGAGATACGGCTCTCAGATACTACTTCAGAATCACCTGGGGTAGATAAGTTATGATACAGATTTTCAGGCTCATCGCAAATATTATTTTGAAGGTCTAGTACTTGGCCCAGGAATCTGCATTCTATCAAGCACCCTAGAGAACTGGGCCACATTTTGAGAAAATCTATGCTGACCCAAACAATACACTAGAGTAACCAGTGAAGATACATTTCTTAATGGATAGGGCTGTCTTTAACAATGCACAGAGAATTGGTTTCAGACAAATAGAAAAAGACAGAGAATGGTGCAGGGATAAGTGTAGTTTTCCTAAAGCTGAGAACCATAGAATCTTTCATATCCAAGTGCAAAGGGAGTGACTGCAAGGTCAGTGAAGGTTATGCAGTTTCAGCGCTTATGTCTTTGAGTTTCTCCTCTTCTAAATCTGGTCAGAACCTTCTCATTCCAAAAGCAATTAATCTGTTCATTAATTTAAAAATCCCTGATACATTGTTTGGCACAGAATTTGGCACTCTGCAAATGCTTTGAGTTATTGAATTGAGCATGAGTTTTTTTGTTTGTTTGCTTGTTTTTTTGAGATGGAGTCTTGCTCCGTCGCCTAGGGTGGAGTGCAGTGGCACGATCTCAGCTCACTGCAAGCTCCGCCTCCCGGGTTCACACCATTCTCCTGCCTCAGCCTCCCGAGTAGCTAGGACTACAGGTGCCCACCAACATGCCCAGCTAATTTTTTGTATTTTTAGTAGACATGGGGTTTCACCGTGTTAGCCAGGATGGACTCGATCTCCTGACCTCGTGATCCACCTGCCTCGGCCTCCCAAAGTGCTGAGATTACAGGCATGAGCCACCGTGCCCAGCCTGAATTGAGCATGAGTTTTATCAAAGAAATAAAGGCCCTTATATAACCCTTTCCCCTGAGAAATGGTAATCTACTCAGATAAAATTTACAATAAATGAAACTCTAGAATATCTTTAAGTGATCAATAATGAGTCCTGGTCATGGGAAACAAACTAATATCTGAAGTACTAATAAGACAGAGTTAAGTCATTAGACAGAAATAAGGATGGGAAAGACCTCCTACAAAATAGAAATCTTGAACTGGATCTTGACTGAAGCAACTGAAATTTCAGAATCTTATTTAACAAGAATGTACTCTCCTATTATCTATGTAATTTAAAAGATGTAATGGGATACAACCGTTGAGAAGGAAGAAAAGAGCAGAAGCAAGGCATTTGACAAAGATGAGGCCTTCATTCTCATTTATATTCTGGGCTGGACACAAGTTTGGGTTAAGTCAAAGAAATATCACATATATATTATATATAATACATATATAATATATAATATACATTATATATAATACATATATAATATACATTATATATAATACATATATTATATATTATATATATACACACATTTTGTTTAAACCATATTAACTCTACTTCTGAGGTCCTAGACTTTTGGAATGGTAGGCTGTCTAAACTTAGTCATTGGTGGGGACTCTACCACACCTGTGATTATACAAAAACCCCAGGGACTTAGACGACACCAAAGCATTGAGGAGAACTCCAGGTCATGAAGCTGGTTCTTCTTAGGAAAAATATTGTCTTAGTCGTCATGGGCCCTTCAGGGCTATAGCTCTGTTACTTGAGGCCCTGACTCTTCAGTAAGGCATCTCTTCTACATGACCCTTGCGGCCATTCCCCTGAGTTCTTCCATCTTCATAGCCCTTCCAGTAAGGTAGTCCAGGGCATATATCTGACTTCAAACCTGAAAAAATCCTTGAGGCAAGGAATGGCCAAGCTAGACAGCCTACTTAAAAATAGGACAGTATGGAGAAATATGGAAAACAGGACAAAATTACACACACACACACACACACACACACACACACACACACATTCATATTCTTGCCTCCTTCATAGTTAGAAAAATAAAATTCCTGGTTATGGAATTCAGCTGGGCTCTCCAAGTATTGGTCAGAAGCTCTTTAAAGTCTTCAGGAGGCAAACTGCATTTATAAAATAAAACGCTGACCACATTCATTCACTCCTATTTTATATTTATATGGTGACTTTTGTACTTGATATTCAAATGTGCTTCATTATGCTTTATGACTGTAATTTGCATACTGAAATAATATTTGAATTCAGGCATTTGGGAGTGATTTATAGTGTTTTCAACAGTTCCAGTGCGTTAGAAGGAAGGCTATATAGATCTATACAATCAGAGAACTTTAACTGCAGGATTTTGTCTCATTCAAACAGCCTAAACCTCTCATTTAAGATGATGAGTTGCCAACAATACAAAGGCAGCAGCAGCGTGGTCATTATTTTGATTGGGATGAGGTTGAGCCTCCCAACTACACCTGGTATAGTTGTGATGGCCACCTTAAACTTAAACTCTCTTGGTTTAAGGCCTAGCCTGGTTCCCTGCTGCCAAAGCTTCCAGGCTTCCTGCTGGAGCCCGTGAATGCTGACCTAGACATTCTGGCTTTCTCTTCGAGCTGAGATCAAGCCTGTTGCTAGACATGGGGAATGTAGAGAGTGTTCTAGCTCCTTTATAGACTCAAAAGTGTTTTCTGTAAAGTGAGGTGCTGAGATTTGGTCAAGAGACCTCCATGGTCTGTGGGTCCCCAGTGAGTGCTTGGGGTCCATCCAGCCTTCCACCTCAGCTTCCAACAGTGAACCCCTGTTTCCATGCTTGCTATAATAGGCTTCCATAGAAGATGGAAGATTTCTTTTGAGAAATGGGTTCAGACACATACACACACACACACACACACACACACACACACACACACACGAGTTTGAAAACCAATGGAGTACATGGCACATGAATTTCTCTCTTCCCTGGCATCTCTGGTCTTTGGCAGCAACTCTGATTTTGGTATCCTGATTCTCTAGGAACTGGGCTTCAGCCTGTTATGGACTGAATTATACCTCTCCCCAAATTCATATGTTGAAACCTTAATGCCAAATGTGAGTATAATTAAATATAGGGATTTTAAAGAGGTGATTAAGGTTAAATGAAGCCTTAAGGGTGGGGCCCTATTCCAAAAGGACTGGTGTCTTGATAAAACAACAAGATTAGGACACAGACACACACAGAGGGAAGGCCATGTGAAGATGCAGAGAGAAGGTGGCCATCTGTAAATTTAAGAAGAGAGGCCTCAAGAGAGACCAAACCTGCAGACTCTTTGATCTTGAATTTCTGGTCTCCAGAACTGTGAGAAAATAAATTTCTGATGTATAAGACACCCAGTCTGGTGTATTTTTTAAAAAAACAAAACAGTGTTTTGTTATAGCAGCCCTAAAAGACTAATACAAGCCATAGTGATTCAATATTTAACTATTATTGAACACTCACTATGTGCCTAGCACTGTTCTAAGCCCTGGAGATACAATGGTAAAGAAAATAGACAAACCTCTTTATCTTCAAGTCAACTAACAAGAGGCAGATTCAGGAGCCAGATTCACAAACTGTACTACTTACTGGTGGTATGACCTTGAGCTAGTTACTTAATCTCCATGTGCCTCAGTTTTCTATGTCCACAAAATGGATATGGTAAAATTACAACATTGGAGTTGTTGTAAAGATTAAAACAATTATTATATGCAACGTACTTTTAATAGTATCTGGCAGATGTCAAGTGTTAGCTATTATTACTTTCACACAGTAATCCAGACAGACAAAAAAAAAAAAAAGTATTGTCTAATTCCAGGTAGTGCTAAGTGCTATGAAAAAAGGTAGAGGATTGAGAATGATGGGAGGAGGAAAGGCCTCTTGGAGGGTGTTTCAAGCACAGCCCTAAATATTTATCAGTTCTGAATAAACCAAATTAAACCAAACAAACTAAATATTGTCCTTAATAAACTGATATAGAAAGTCATGCAAAGAATATTCCAGGCAGGGAGAATAGCAAGTGCAAATGTCCTGGGGTCTGAAGATATTTGGCATGTTATAAGAATCATGAAAAGACCAATGTGGTAAAACAACATGGGCAGTACACAGAGTAGCTAAAATTAGGTCAAGCAGATTAGGAGGGGGCAGACAATGAAAAGTTTAATTAGGCCAGAACTCTTTCCTCCAACCTCCCCAATATAAGGTAATCGCCTTGGACCCGTGTCAAATATACAAATTGCCAGGGCTTTTCCAAGGAAATTCTGATTCAATAGTCTCATCACCTACTACATGGAAAGTAGCATTTTAGGCACTAGGAATACATCAGAAAAAAAAAAAAACCCACACACCAACAAAAGAGCTTATGTTCTAGATGGAGCTTATGTTCTAATAGGGGAAGACAGAAAATAAACATGTTTAAAAATGATATAGCCGGGTGTGATGGTACACACCTGTAGTCCCAGCTACTCTGGAGGCTGAGGCAGGAGGATTACTTAAGCCCAGGAGTTCGAGGTTCCAGTGAGCTGTAGTTGCACCACTGAACTCCATCCTGGATGACAGAGCAAGATTATGGCTTTTAAACAATGACATCGTACATTAGATATAGCTACATGCTAAAGGAACAAACAAAACATAACCCAATAAGTGGAATTGCCCAGTGCTGTGGATGCAGGTAAGCTGCATTGTTTTTATATAGGCTGATCAAGTCTGGATTGGAGATATAAATTTGGGAGTTGTCCAGCAAATAGATGCTATTTAAATCTATGAAACTGGATGACAACACCAAGGAAATAAGTATAGACGGAAAAGTCTAAGGACTGACTCTGCAACTCCAGTGTTTAGAGAATGGGGAGGTGAGGAGGAGCCAGCAAAGTAGTTTAAGGAGATTGGTGGGGAGCAACTAGTGAAGTAGAAGGTAAACCAAGAGTTTGGGGGTGTCCCAGAGATAGGAATGGTAAACTGTGTCAACAAGCTGTTGCTGGGTCAAATAAGATAAGGACAATGAACTCACCATTAGATTGAGCACTAACAGCTCATTAAGTTAACAGGAAGGAAGGCAGGTTGGTAGATATAGTGGAAGGAATGTGAGTAAACTGTTCTGATTGCTTCGATTTTCTCAGTGAATAATAGGACGCATGTTTATCAGCTGAAAATGAATATAGAAAGGAGGAGGTGGAAGCTTGATTAGTAGAAAAGGTATGTAATAGTCATCTTGGAGAGTGGAAGAGTAGAAGAAGCTGACAAACCTTTTACAATTGCTGAGCAGCATTAAGGGTCCACTTGAGGTTCATGGTCATGAATTCAGAGTGATACCAGCCAGCATAGTTGCGGGTTTTTTCCCAGTCATGACTGACTGCACAAGTACAGTGCAAAGTAGGCAGAGAGACAGATTTAACTGAGATTGTGGTTTTGCTAAACAAAGTGAAAGGGGTGCAGGAGAGTTGAGGCTACGTATAGGAAGCAATTAAAATGCTTGTCCATGCAATTAAGGAGGGAAGAGGGGACATCAGAGTGAAAAGTTTGTAGGATCAATCAATTGTACGGTCCGCCATGGTTGAAGTGATGACTGGAGATAGAGCATTAGATGGAATGAGCCAGAAAGATGGGAAGTGGTGGAAAGAGAATAGGATAGATGACATTGAGTTTGTGGGAGTTGTAGTTATTGGTAATGAGAAGAGCTAAAGTATGCCATGGGAGTGACTGGCTGAGGGGGTAGAGAAGAAGGTCACAGGAGAAGAGGAGGAAGTCAAGGAACTGAGAGGCCAAGGTGTTTGAATTTCGTCCATGTCGGTATTGAAATCACCAATAATTAATACAAGACTAGTATTTGAGAGAGTGCCAGTCTTCTGGCACAAAATTGAAAAGTTTTAACAAAAACTCTGGGTGATTCGGGTGATTCTTCTCTTTAGGATAGTTTGCAAACCCTGCCTAGGGTCATGGTAAAGGCCCAGGATATTATTCCGAGTGTGATTGGAAGACAGTGCAGGAGTTTGAGCATGGGAGTGATTATTCCCATTTTACAGATGACAAAACCATGGTTTGGAAAAATTAAACATGTTATTCAAGTTCACTTACCTAATAAGTGAAAAAATGGCAGCTGCTCTGTGAGTATTTGTTACCTGTAGGGCAAGACTGTGGTTCTTATGCAACTTCTCCTCCCTCCAAAGCCCATGTCCTATTCAGCACTACATCTCTGTGCACGAGCAAGTAGGAGTTAACTATGGCCTACAAATACATTTTATTTCAGCTCTATTCTCCACACCTAGAGATACTCAGCAAACCGTATTGCAGAATTAGGACTTGTGCAGTGCTAAACTGTGGCACAAAATCACAAGGAAACAACTAGAGAAGGGAAGGGCATTCAGTAACATCAGAAAAAAGTGAGAAATAAGCAATATGTCTCTGTTTTTCTCATCACCAGATTACTTGCAATATCTCATGGCTGTATTACCATTTCTTTAGATTTTATACGCTAAACAGGAAAATAATAATGTATATATAAGTGACGACGTGTGGTGAACTTAAACTAGACATAAAAGACCTATTGGACAGCCTCAATTCCATAAAGAAACATTACAGGGCTTGTCCTTCTCTAATTTTCCCCATTCTACAAAATCAAGGATTCCATTAGATAATATCTGAACAAATATTAATCAATCTAAACTCTAAGCCACCCTTGGGGTAAGCTCTCAAATGTAGGTTACTACCATGCATGGTCTTCTTGTCATAAGATGGGTGCATGAATAACCAAGCTCCCCAGCACTGTTATATCCCAAAGCACAAAAGAAAGAAGGAAAGAGTCTCTCATCCTGAAATTCTAGCCTGTCACGTCCACCACACCACAGCCCAAGTATTTAGTAGCCAGAGAGATGCCTTCTTGGTCTGTGATTTTTAGCAGGCACATTCTATCCTGAAAATAACATTTATTTCATAAGCATTCAAGAACCCGGGAGCCCTTAGAAATCTGGAAGGGGTCTTGCTTTTTAAAAAGTATTTCCTCCGAGGAAGAAAACAGGTGCCCTTATTTTATTTCATAGGGTTCTGATAATCAGGGTAGCCTTTTCCTTAAAAAAAAAAAAAAAGATTCTCCCCTGCCCTTAACCAAAGTAACAAAGTAAGTGTTCTATAATCCTCCACTAACCACATTTAGCTTGAAATATTTAATAAATTTCCCACAAGCAATACCCCCTAGCATGTTTGCTGCGACTAAATGGCAAAATTACAGGGCCAGACATGGAAAAGAAAAACCAGGCATCCCCAGTGGAAATCAGGAAGTCAGCAGCCTTTGTACCCCATCATCCTGAAAAGGCACATCCAAACACCTAAAGGTCCAGGCTTCATGTGGCTTCCTCCTACTTTCCCACAAACATGTGGACTGGTCAAAGCCCTTTGCATTGAAAATGTACCTCTCTTCTGCAGGAAATCATAGCATCTGACTCATCGTTCTCCTCTCCCCAGGGAAGACTTGCTGGCCCCTGCCCATCTACTCTGCCATACCACTACCGAGCGAAGCTACCAGTACTTGCTCCCTCCTATGCACACCTCTGAAACGGGAATTTTTTTGGCCTGGTATTCATATGTCTGCTGTCTGTGTCCCCTCACTGGCTGTGAGCTCCCTTAGGACAAGAACAAGGCTAACTTATCTCTGGTTCCGCAGAACCTAGAACAAAGCCTGAGGCAGGGTAGACAAAGGGTGACAGACAGAAAGGGAAGAGGATATGAGGGGAGAAAAAAGAGGGGAGGAGAGGAGTAAGTGGGAGTATCTGCTGCAGCCAGCCAGATAGGCAGAAGTCCCTCCATAGGGCTTTCTATTCCAGGTGTGCCCCACCTAGTTGCGCTAAGAGGCCTGGAGGCTTGAACAAAAGAGTCTCACGAAGCTCCCAGCATTCTAGTTTTAAAAAATGGATGGTGTTCTCTGTCTCTATCCAAAGTAGAAATATTTTTGCAGGAAAGTGAATGATTTGGTTGCATCATTCTTCCCTCTTCATCAAATCTCATTCCTCTTGGTATGGAGAGACCACTTTGAAGACATTGAAGCTCCCTGAATGCACAGAAGATAGGCAGTAGCAGGATCTGCCATAATTCTAAAAGTGTGCATGGGAGAATCTTGCTCTGCTACCTCTTTTTATGAACCCTCCTATTTTTTTCAATTCAATTAAAAAAAAAAAACCTTTTCGAGAGCCTACTCTTGATTGAGAATATACATTTTTCTATTGCATTCAAAAACATCAGCATCATTTCAAGCAATTTGTCTCCGAATCATAAGCACTAATTAGTGTGGCACCCTTTTTGAAATTTCAATCACACCATTGTATAGTGGTTTCATTTCTTTTTCAAGGCCAATCACAGAATTTTCTAGGCTTTATGACAGCAAGTGACAGTGTGAGAAGCAGCTTTTTTTCTTAGTGCCAAGAGAGGCATCTGCTGTGAGGCCCCCTCCTATTCATGAGTTAGAAAGGCTTTCCCCCAAACCTTGAATGTGTTCAGCCTTCTGTGTTGCCATGGACTAGAGCTGCCACAGAAATGATGTCTCAGTATGGAGTCTTCCATATTATTGCGCTCCAAAAGACCATTGAGTGTCTTGGTTATTAATTTAACCAAAGGGATTCTGGAAGTTAGTCATAGACCCTGCAGGACTAGGTCTAAGAAGGGTAATTTGGTGAGAAGCTACTCTTCAACATCATGATTCTCGTTTTCCATCTAAAAAATGTTTTATTAAGTAGATGTGCTGAGCTCTCTATAGTAGTTTGTTTGGTTGTTTAATAGAATGTGAATTAAAATTTAAAAGGCATTTAGAAACATTTCTTGTAACCAAAGCACTAGATGTATGTTTCACTAGGGTGAGAACTGTCTATTCCACATATCTTTACCACGAGCTGTCTGATACATTTATTCAAGTGCACAGTGAATGGCGCATGGATGAACAAATGAATAATCTGAACAGCAAGTAGTAAAATAGTAGAGCTGGATAGGGCCCTTAATAAAAAGTCATTATAAACTTGTCTGACCGTTAGAGTTACCTGGCCACTTCTTAAAAATATAGATGATCTGGTCTCCACTCTTTACTGGAATCCATAATTCAAACAAGCTATTATGGTGATTCTTTTATTTTAAAATGCATGATTCAGTGGTTTTCAGTATATTCACAAGGTTGTATAACTCTCACCACTAACAAATTCAAGAACACCTTCATCACCCCCAAAAGGAAACCCCGTATTTATTAAGCAGTCATTCTCCATTCTCCCTCCCCCAGCCTCTGACAACCATTGATCTTCTTTCAGTGTCTATGTATTTGTCTATTCTGGACATTTAATATAAGTGGAATCATACAGTTTGTGGCCTTCTGTTTCTGGCTTCTTTCAATAAGCATAATTAACATCATGTATTCAAGGTTAATTTTTACCATAGCATGTATCAGTACTTCATTCCTGTTTATTGGTTGAATAAGTTTTTAATATACGGACATGCTGCATTTTTGATTATTCATTCACCAGTTGATGGACATTTGAGTTGTTTCTATTTTTGGACTATTATGAATAATTCTGCTATGGACATTTGTTGAGTAGATACCTGTTTTCAATTCTCCTGCAATGTGTAGTGATAGCAGGCAACAATCAAAGATCTGGAGTGGGGGAAACAGATGCAGGATTTGGGGAAAAGCCATGTGCAAGCTCACACAAGGAATCAATGGCAGAGTTGAGTCCAGAGCCCAGACCTCCTGACTCCAAAAGGGACTCTTGACTCCTCCAAAGGGACAGGACTCTGTCTCTCCTTTGCTGAAGTGTTCATCCCAGTCAGAAATCTGTGCAAACCTTTCAGAGATGTTTCTTCCAGGGATTTGGATGAGGGTACAGGGTGAGCTGCCATATCTGAACCATCTATAATCGGTGAGGTCCTGACAGCAACTGGGTTGAGTAACTGCTTCTACACAATAGTAACAACCCATTAGAAGAGAATGTATAGCTTCTTGGGGACCCTCATTTATTTAACATGGGATGAAGAGTGAATAATAATAACTATTGACTCGTCTACTTGGAGGAAGTTAAAGTCACTTCCATTTCTTTGTCAGATACCCCAGAGTAGCATTGAGCACTCTTTTTCTCAGAAACACCCTCTACTTAGCTGACTGCTATCATTGCTGACTTGAACATTTGAAGGAGAAACAGTCTGCGAACAGGCACAATTTTTTCAGTGCAACATGACTTGCAGGGGCAAATGTCCACTGGGGACTTATTTTCTAGGCACCAAATACTGATTGAAGATGTAGTTAACTATGTATGAAATTTTAGCTCCCTCAATTAATTGGGGGCACTAAATTATGGCTGCTCCAAAAAAGCAGAAAAGACTTTATGAAAATTGAACCTGTTAAAGGGAATTCTGCCAGGTTAAGGGCAATAAACTACAGCAGCCTGCAATGATGATGACCTTTAGCAAGAACAGCTAACTTCCTTGTCAGTTGAAAAGGTATCAGAAGGCTAAATTTGAGGCTGTGCAAAAAGTGCTGGAAAAACCCAATTCAGTTAGGCTAGACCAACTATCAGTCCTAAAATAAAATTGCACTGTGTTTGGTTGCTTAATCAGCATTGAGAATATTAAACACTGTCCTCTTTCATTCTTTTTAAAAAGATATCTGACTGCTCTGGTCTGAATGTTTGTGTCCCCCCATAATTCATATGTTGAGACCCTAATCCCCAAGGTGATGGTATTAGGAGGTAGAGCCTTTGGAGATGTGATTAGGTCATGAAGGCAGGGACCTCATGATTGGGATTAGTGTCCTTATAAAAGAAACTTCAGAGGACTAGCTAGCCCCTCCCACCACGTGAGGAAACAGCTAGAAGGTGCCATGTAAGAGCCAGGAAGTGGGCTCTCACCAGACGCTGAATCTGCGGGTCCATTGATCTTGGACTTCTTAGCTCCCAGAACTATGAGAAATAAATTTCTGTTGTTTAGTAGCTACCTAGTATATGGTATTTTGTTACAGCAGCCTGGACAGACTAAGATGTTATTAATAAATATGTTTTCTGTGCTTATCTTTCTGAAAGCAATAAATCTATAGATTACACAAGCACCTAGAACAGATCTGGCACTCAACAGATGCTTTGAATGAATGAATGGATGATAAGGTCTAACAAGGAAATAGACCTTGTTCTTAAAAGCTTGCAATGGGCATAAATGAATTCTAGAAAGTTTAGAAAGTGTCGGTAATTGAGGTCATGGCAATGGGACCAAAAAAAAAGAATTATAACTTCCAAAGATAAAAACTAAAACATGAGAATGGTGTCAGGATCAGAAAGACATCTCAGAACCTACCAGTCTTGGGTCTTGAGCTGGGCTTCAGATAAATAATGGTAATGTGAGAATCTTGTATGACAAAGAGGTATTCAGTTATTATCTGCTTAATATGAATAAGAATAGGAATAAGGAGAAGAATAAGAGAAGGAGAAGAACAAGAGGAGGAGGAAAAGTAGGAGGAAAAATAATAGAATGGAATTGACAGAAAGAATGGAAGAAAGAGAAGAGCAAAAGCAAAGGAACACAAAGAGGAATGAAGGGATTGTGTCCAGGAGGTCAAAATAATGCAGGCACTCTTTTTGATTTTATCATCCTCTGCTGTCAGGAACAGCTTGGCATCCAGACCTTAGTTTGTAAACTTTCCCTGAGCCAAGTTCATTTCCTGAACCCACTTGAGGGTTCTTTCCCATCAACCCCTGGAGCCTTGTTCTGGCCTTAGGCAGAATGCAGAGCCTCTATGTTAAAAAGATATTTACTCAAAGGTTACTGCCAGTTACTTGCATGCTGCTCAGCCCTCATACTTTTGTATTTCAGATCCATATTCTGGATGTGTGAAGAGGTGACTTCTTTTGTTAAGTTCATTGAGGTTTGTTGGTTTGCTTCCTTCTGCCCATCTGCTCTGAGCGGAGGAAGTTCCGATTGCCAGTATCTCACCTCCATGTTCCTCAGGACATTTTCCCTACCAGGGTGCTTATTTAGGCCTCTAGAACTCACCTGTTTCCTCCATGTGATCCCTGGGAAAGTCACCACTTCACAATACTTGAGTCTTTGTCTGGGTTTCAGCCCTCTGCCTCAAGACGCGGACTTCCCACCTGGACCAATGGTAACTGGCAAGACAAATTCTATACAAATTCATCTCCTAGTTAGGGTCCTTAACTGCATGGTCCTTAATGTAAAGTGAACTCGGTTGGTCTCCTTTCTGCTCAAATTGTAGCCTGCCACTTGAGCTCTCTGAATTCTCTCATAACTTATCTAAGTATGTGAGCAGTTAATCACACTTCTGAAAATTTCATTCCTTGACTAAATATTCATCAAGCACTTACTATGTGCCAGGAACTAGGATATGGGGACAAACAGAGCTTCCAGTCTGAGGCAAAAATAAATGTTATTCAAATCATTTTATAAGTAAACTCAAGAGCAGCCCTGTGCTGTCCCATCAGCAGCTCTACCCCTGGCAGTTTCTTAGAGGATACTGAGTCCTCACTTTGGACCCCCTTCATCAGACTGAGACTACAGTTGAGGAACCTGCCTAGCAAACTGACCACGTTCAAAAGAGGCAAGACAAAGGAATCCCTTTCCATTCAAAGCTTCTGCCAGGTGTTTGTGTAGCTAAGTGGTGGCTATTAAAAGTCCAACAACCCAGTAATGGCTCCCATTTCTTATGCACCTACAGGCCTCCCGGGCACAGTCATGAAAGCATTAAAATGAACAAAGGGGAACTGACAAAGCACTGCATAGCAGAGTAAATTGCTACCTCCAGTACCTCCTGGGTCAGCTGGGCTGATCGCTGTGGAGTCAGGAAGTGTTTCTCTCCTTTAAAGAGGACTCAGACAACTCTGTTTGGAGAATTTATATTTGTCCTTTGGGGCTGCACGTATGTTCATATGGAGGCCTTGTCTCTTCCTAATAATTTCCCATTGGATCGCCTGGAAAGAGAAGGCCTGTAAAAGAGCCCTTCCCAGCAGGGGGATAGGGAATGGACTTAGGAATGTCAAAGCCTTGTTCGAGGTTCTAGGGGAAGGAATGGATTCTTCTGACGACTCTCCCTAAAGCTGAGTGGGAATCTGCACAGAGAAGGTGTGAAGGTGAGGATGTTCTCTGTGAAGACTGGGGCTGTGCAGGGCTCTAGGCCCTGCACAATAAAAGTTATTAAGCACTGGAGTGAACCCATAAGTGGATTTCCTGTGAGAGCATGTGTGTTCACCCCTTGGACTACGGAAATAGTCCATAGGAATTGCAGGCTGCAAAATGAAGTGGAAATGGGAGAAGCAAGAAGGCACAAGCAAGACAGAGTAGCGGTGGCCTCTGGAATAGACTGACTCTCACCTTCCCAAATATGCCCCGTAAAAGATACTCTGTTTACAGAGCTTGAGGCATGTGTACTGAGTATAGTGACATATCTGTGAAATGCTGTATTTAGCAGTGTGGGTGCATGTATTGCTTTCTTTAGTGGCATATTTGAAACTATGCTTCACACAGCTAGGTGCACGAATGACTCACTACAGTGATATCTGCATGAAACACTGTTTAGCAACACATACTACATGTAGACTTCTTTAGGGATGCATGCTGAAACTATTTCAACAGAGCAAGGTGCGTGAATAACTCACTATAGTAATATCTGTGTGACGCACTATGTTTAACAGGGTATTGCTTTTCTATATGGACTACATTAAATGATGAATGTTAGAACTCAGTTAACAGAGCTTGGTGTATGTGGGTGTGTATGTGTGTGTTACTGAGTATGATGATATCTTTGAATCCCCATGTTTAGCAGTGTGTGGCATATGTATTACTTTGTTTAGTTATATACGTTGAAACACTGTGTTTAACTGTTAGAGAAAGATAGAACAAGACAGCCCAGCATTGGAGGAGCTGTAATTTCAGGGTTACATTAAATTACTATAATCGTGATAAGGGAGATAGAGATATGTACAGTGGACCATGGGCACATCCACCAGGGAGACCTAACCATGTCTGGGGCAGCTGGCATCATAAAAGGACCTCTCTGAGGACAGGACATTGAAACTGCACCTGAACGAATGAATAAGAGCACCTGTTTCCTGGGCAATTGCTCCACGCCAGGTATTATTTGAAGGGCTTTACATGATTGAACGCACTTAATCCTCACAAAAGCCATTTATCGTCATTGCACAAATAGAGAAACTGAGGCATACAGCAAATTTAGGTAATTCTCCAAGATTCTGAAGCTGCAGAGCCTGTCCTTGTCACCACTATGCTATAATGTCTATTTAAAAAAAAAAGAAATTAACTTACACAGAGGTGGAGAAAGAGTGTTTCAGGAACAACAAATGAGGTCTGGAGGAGAGAGTTTATGGTGTGTTCAAGGAACTGAAAAAAGGCTGGTGCGACAGGAGTGAGGGCACCAGGAAGAACCCTGTGAGATATAAAATAAAGCTTGAGAGGACCACAGTGGTTCACTCATTCAAAGCCTTGTGAGTTGTGGGAAGGGTTTGGATTTATCTTCAAGCAATGAGAAGCCCTCAAATAGTTTTGAGCAGGGAAAAGACACAATTGTTTTAGTGAGAAATCGTAGGATTCAAGAGAAACTTTGCCTTTGAAATCAATTACAACTTGGTGATAAATTGGGTGTTTGGGCATGAAGAGGAAAAAGTAACAATGACATGCGGGTTTTTCCACTGGAACAATCTTGTATGTGGTGATATGTTCTACTGAACTAGGGATTACCGGAGGAGATACAGGTTGAAGAGAGGGTGTGGGAAGCTTGAGAGCTTGGTTTCAAGCATCCATCTTTTGGTGTGCTCATGACACATTGAGTCCCTTGGATTTATATTATCTATACACCAATGGCTCCCACCTTATTGATAGCTGTCTGTTGAAATTTAATTTATCCAAAGAAGCATAACTTAATCTTGTTCATTCCCACAGGAATGAACAGCTTCTCCTCATCTTCCCCATTACAGTAAATGGTACCACCATCTATCTGGGTGCTCCAGCTGAAAACCTATGACTCTCCTCTCTCTCTCTCTCGCTCCTCACATCCAATCTATCGGTGGTTCTGACAGCTGTTTCTTCAAAATGCGCCCACGGTCCAAACACTTCTGTTCACCACCTCTACTGTGATCCCTCTAGCTCTAGTCACTGTCCTCTCTCACTTGAACAACTGCCGCAGCCCCCTACTTGGGCTTCCTGCTTCTACTCTCACGCCACTAGGGGATTTATCATCAGTGCAGCCAGAATGATCTTCCAAAAATGTAAATAAAATCATATCTTCCTGCTTCTCAAATCTCTTCAAAGACTTCCCTCTGCACTCAGATTTAAATCCAAAGTCCTTAACAGAGCCAACTAGGCATAACCTGACCCTGCCTGTTTCTCCAGGCTCAGCTCCTACCACTCTGACCCTCACTTACTCTTCTTGTTTTTCCTAGAACTCCTCCAGCTCATTTATCCCTTAGGGCCATTGTATTTTCTCTTCCCTTGGCCTGGAACACTCTACCTTCCAGATATTCTCATGCATTGCTATCATATTTCATTCATGGCTCTGTTCAAATGCCACCTTTTCAGAAGTCATGTCCTTCATCATCCTATCTCAAGTAGCACTACCTTTCACTCATTATTCCATTTACTTCATTTTATTTTCCTTCCTAGTATTTCTTATCACCTCAAATTATGTTATTTATTTCTTTGTTATTATTCTCCATAAGAATATACCTCTTCGAGGGCAGGGGCTCTATCTCATTCAGTAAGGCATGCCCAGTGCCCAGAACAGGATTGGGTATATAATAGATTTTCATGAACTCTTGGCTAAATGTATTACTGAATTTTTTACTTGACGTCTATTGTCTTGTTTATCCCCAAATTGTCCTTCATTTCTCTGAACTGCCCTTCTGCTGCCCACTCTCCATCACTAGCTTAGCTGCAGAGCCCCTACACACAGTGATATAGCCAGGGAGCTGGCACCTATCCTAGGCTGAAACAATCAACATTCTTTCCTAGCATTTGAGACACAGGGCTGATAAAGAGGAGTCACACTCTCTTCTGCCAGATAAAACAGAGGACTTGGAAATTCAAAGGATGGTAGTGACTGTGTTCTGAAATGTCAACTAGGAGCAGAAACATTCAGGTACAAGCAAAGGGAAATCATGAAGTAGATGCACACAGAGAGGAATACAGCACTAGATGGACAGAGTCCTTCTTGGGTTCTAGTTTTCTTGGTTCCAGTTCAATTCTGGCAGATATCCCAGACTCTAGCTTTCTTAAGACAATTTAATAATCTGGAAAACAAATTATGTTATATCCATAAATCATTTGAGTTAGATTTCTATTATTTGCAACCAGGAATCCCAACTTAAATAGATTTGGAAGTCAGAAGAGAGGTCTGAGCTAGACGTATCATTTGGCGAGTTAATTGGCATATAGATAGTTTGGTGCAAATAGTCAGAACTCACCATAATCAGCTCTCTTCTCCTTCCTTGGCACATAATATGACTTCTCAGCCTCCCTTAAAGTGAATTCAAACGGTATATCTAAGTTTGGCTGTGAAAGTGACACATGTCACTGTAAAGTTGGAAGTAGTTATGGGGGAAGTGGGAGTTTTCCATGTTTGAGATTCCCTGATGTAGTGGACACTGAGGCCATATCATGAGATTGGGAAGTGATAAAATGTCATCCAGTGTCCCTGCATTGGCCATGAGTGTGAAATAAATTGTTTTTTTTTCAATCTCTGATATTTCAGGACTAATTTCTGACCACAATATAACAGCTCATCCTGACTAAAGCAGGTGGTAATTGAAGTTATGGGAGGGCCTAGAACAGGGCCATAAGAACATTGGTAACTAAAATTCAGGGAGAGGTGGATTGGGCAATGAAGATTATGCAAGATCTGATAAAGTGGTAGGAGGAAAACCAAGATCACAGAAAATCCTAAAATCAATGGCAGTGAGCGGTTAATGGACGAGGGCAGGCCCAAGAAGCCATGGAAATTCTGCTGAATGGTTAAATAATATGAAGACAGAAGAGTGTCTGTTAGATCCTGCAACATTTTAATTATTGGTGACTTTGACAAGTTTGGAAGCATCTGAAGAATAATTGGGGAGGAAAGGAAATGACTGTAATGTGTACACATTATTTGTTCAGTTGTTATGTTGCAGCAAATACAGAAGGCAATAGTTGGAAGAGTATGTGGGAGCTTTTTTGTTTTTACGATGGAAGACACTTGAGAATATTAGAATTCTGATAGAAAGACTCAAGGAACAATAGATAATACCATTAGCTAACATATACTGGACACTGGCTAAGCACTTTTCATGTATAATCTAATTGAAGCTTCACAGCAACCTTATCAGATGATATGTTTATTGTCCCCATTTTACAGTTGAGGACACGGTGGTGCCGAGAGGTTAAGAGGCTTACCCAGTGTTCCGCAGCTGGTAAGTGACAAAGCCAGTGTGCAAATCTGGGCAGTAAGAGCCCTTGCTTTTACCTTCTCTGATCCAGAGATGAGGAGGTTAAAGAGACAAGTGTGGGGGTTAGAAGTGGTGCTTTCCAGGGTACTGGTCTTTGATACAGCACACCTCTTTATGGTAACAGCAGGTGAGGACCGGATGGGAAAGAAACACACATGTGGACTGGGGTGGTGAACTGTTGAGGGAGGATCAACAGATGTTCTGATGGCATCTGTTTTCTCTGTAATGTGACAGGCTAGGTGACGCTTAGACAGAAAGTGTGAAGCAGGGCAAGGTGCTTGAGGAGGGTAAAAAGATTAAAAACAGTGGGTACAGTGGGTGAAGGAGTAAGCCGGGTTAAGGACCCATTTGAGGTTGGTAACCAGGAATTTAAAGAGGAACCAACCTGCCTGGTTGCATAAATTTCTCTAGCAGTGAGCAGCTGTGGATAGAATAATAGCAGCTAACTTAATTGAATACTTAGCATGTGTGAGGCATTGTGCTAACCACTTTACATGTGTTACCTCATTAAATGCACTCAATAACTATGAAATAGGTTCAAGTGCTGGCTTGAAGAAGTCTGCTAACTCAAATTATTTCAGCTGGAGTTAGGCTTTTATTTTTTTTATCCCTCATATCCATACACCATCAGCCACCAAGTCTTGTTGGTTCTTTCCTGACACTTTCTTGGTCTTGCATCTTCTCCTTTTCATTCTCATTGGCACTTCTCTGGCCAGGCCTTTCTGACATCAAGCCTAAATGACTGCAGCTGGCCTCCTCACTGGCCCTTCCCTCGTCAGACTTGGTGATATGGTTTGGCTGTATCCCCACCGAAATCTCATCTTGAATTCACATGTGTTGTGGAAGGGACCCAGTGGGAGGTAACTGAATCCTGGAGGCAGGTCTTTCCTGTGCTATTCTCCTGATAGTAAGTCTCACAAGATCTGATGGTTATTGTAAGTAGGAGTTTTCCTGCACAAGCTCTCTTTGCTTGCTGCCATCCATGTAAGAAGTGACTTTCTCCTCCTTGTCTTCTGCCATGATTGTGAGGCTTCCCCAGCCACGTGGAATTGTAAATCCAATTAAACCTCTGTCTTTTGTAAATTGCCCAGTCTCAGGTATGTCTTTATCAGCAACATGAAAACAGACTAATACACTTGGTGTGCTCCTGTTTATCTTTCCCATGGCTACAAGAATTATCTACTTTTAAAAGCATGTTGATTTTCTTCCTCCCAAGCTCAAGAACCCACAAAGCTTCCCACTACACCTCAAGTCAAATTCCAACTCTCCCGATCAAGATTTAAGACCCTCCATCAACTGATCTATTTTTTTAACAATGTTATTCATTATTCCACACTATATTTTTGCATAAGGGTTTCTAAAAGCAAAGATCACTCATTATTCTGAATCTTATGGACTGCATGCTTTTATCCTGTTTTACGGCCTCCATATAAACTTGTGTGTGGAAAACAGCCTCTAATTGAAGAATCAAGTCTAGATCTCTCTCCCAAGTTTCGGTTTGATATATTTCAATGTGTTTATGTACTTACAACTCAAAATGTCCAAATTTGATGTCATCTTCTCTCTAAAACCCCTATGCCTGTCCCAAAGTACTATAATTATGTTCAAACAATGTGCAAACAACCTAAGTATAAAGTTCAATGAATATTTGCATGTGTGTACACCCATGTTACCACTCCCCCTCTCAAGATGTGGAAGATTTTTAGTGCCCCAAAGGCTCCCTAGTGCTCCTTCCCAGTCAGTACCAACATCTAAAGATAACCACTCTTTTGACATCTATAACTTTTTATTAGTCGTGCCTGCTCAGATAAATGGGATCATATTGTAGGTACTCATTTGTCATTCATAAACATTATATCTGTGAGATGTATCTATGTGATTTTATCTGTCAGTTATTTGTTCCTTTTTATTTCTCTGTAGTATTTTATTTTATGAATATACCACAACTTGTTTGTCCATTCTACTGTTGATGGAGATCTGCATTTTTCCAGTTGGGGCTCATAAGAATGACATCAATATTTTTATACACATCTTTTGGTAAACATAGTCCTCTATTTATCCCAGGAGTTGAACTTTTGAGTCACAGGGTAGATACATGTTTAATTTTAGTAGATGTTGCTGATCAGTTTTCCAAACTGGTTATACCAATTTATACTCCTACCATCAGTGTACGAGAGGTCTAATTGTTCCACATCTTTGCCAAAGCTTGATATTGTTAGCCTTCTTAATTTTAGCCATTCTGCTGGGAGTATAGTGATATCTCACTGTGGTTTTAATGTAAATTTCCCTCATGACTAGTAATGTTGAGCACCTTTTCATATGCTTATTGACCATTTAGAAATCCTCTTGTAAAGTGATTGTTCAAGTCTTTTACCCAAATTTTAAATTGGGTTGGCTTTTTCTTCTTAATGTATATAATTTCTTTATATATTCTAGATATGAGTTCAAATCATCTTCTCCTAGTCCTTACTTGGCCTTTTCACTCTATGAATGGCATCTTTTGACAAATAGAAGTTCCTAATTTTAATAAAGTCAACGTATGTATTTTTATTAAAATTTCATTTTCTAGTGCTTTTTGTTTTCCATTTAAGAAATTATTGCCTACCACCATCCCTACTTTAACTTCACCCCCTGCTTCAACTCCCAGACAACTAAATTAGTCACCAATTCCTGTAAACTACGTCTCCAAAATATATTTCAAATATGTTCATGTTTTCCATATTCACCTTTAAAATCATAGATCAGGTCACCATTATCTCTCACCTAAGCTGCTACACCAGTCTCCTAGCCACGCTCCCTATCACAGGAATCCTCTCCAATCAATTTTCCTCATTGAAGCCATAGTGCTGTTTCTAAAACGCACATTTGACCATGCCACTTCCATGTTGAAAACCCATCAGTACTTACCCACTTCTCTTCAGCCAAAGTCTAAATTCTTAAAGACACATTTAATACGTTAACAGTTCTTCATGCTCTGGTTCTTTGTTGCCTCTCCTGCTTCATCTATCTACTAACCCTATTCTCACAACTCTTTCACCAACCATACTGATTTTCTTCATTCTTTGAATGTGCTATATACATTCTGTCTTTCAGGGCTTTGTGCATGCTGTTCCCTATTCTGGAATACCTTACTTCAATACTCTATCAAAAAGGGGCTAATTTGTACTCATCCTTGCTAGATTACCATAGGATTTTCCTCCTTACATCACCATGAGGGGGCTAGATGACCCTCCAAAGGGCTCTTCTAACATTCATCTACCCTCGTTACACTGAATTGTAAACATCAGTTTATGTGTGTTTTTTCCACCAGACAGTGAGCACCTTCAGGGCAAGGACTGTGCCTGATTCTGTATCTCCAGCTTAGTCCATAGTGTTTGGTACACAGTAAGTGCCCAGTAAATAATAAATAAATAAATAAATAAATAAATACAGAGTAAATGGATGAGTCAGTACTTAGGCAGTTTTCTCTAGTTCATGGAGTGGTCTTGTGCCTTGCAATAGGAATTGGCTGCTGTCACTAGCACCAAGACTATAGTTGCCAATTGTATCCAGGGAATCTAATATCTTTTCCTTAAAGCTGAGAGGAAACTAATACAGCTTTAACCTCCAGGACCCCAGGAAGCCACTAAAGGCTCCTTGGTAGAAAGCAGTCATTAATGTGAGAAATTAAGGATGAATCTGGCCAGAGATGGAGAGTGGGTTGTTGAAGAATATTTGTGAAAGTGCTGAGGACACTAGATAACTCCAGGAAGGAGCCTACTCAGGGAATAAAGAGATGAGGGCAAATACACATGATGTTCTGTTCAAGGAAATGTCAGAACATGGTGACAGATGGGTTGTGAAGAACAAAGCATACTTAGGAGCCAAAAGTTACTCTCCAAAGAAAATGTTTTATTTCTTTTCCCTACCAAGAGGTCTAGCTTCTTTAACTGTTGGATAGCCCATAATTTAATACTATATATGGAAACAAGACAATACAACCTTTGGGCTTGCACATTCAGTCCCCAGAGCATCCTGGCCTTTGTTGGCAGGAGGAAATCAGTGGGCCCTTGGTCCTGAGTAGAATGAAGAAATGTCTGCAATAACAATGCTTCAACATAGCAATCACAATAACCAGGTGAATATTTTCACTGAAATGGCCTCTTTTCTGTAGTGTACATATTTGAGAGTGCAAAACATAATAAAAGTGAGGACTCATTGCCAGCCTCACTCACTGTTAACACCACACTTTGTTTATTCATTCATCTAATTCAACAAATACTTATTGAACATTTACTATGAGCTGGGCACTGTTTTTGGTTTTGTAGATACTGTAGTAGACAGAATAAAGTCTTGTAAAACTTACATTTAGATAGACAATAAAGCCCCAAACAGGTAAACTCAAAAGATAATTTTGGAAATTGAGAAGTACTTAGAGGAAAGGAGAGTAGACAAAGGAAATTAGGAAGCTTTCAGCTATATGTAATAGAAACTCCAACTCAAAATCATTTAAGGAATAAAGTCCAGAGGTAAGGTAGGCTCCAGAATTGGTTCAATAATGACTCAACAATATCAAGGATCCATGTAGTCTCTATCACTGCTCCGTCATCTTTGAAACTGGCTTCATCCTCAGCCTGGGAGGAAGATGCTGCAGCAATTTTAGGTATCACCTGAAGATACAACAAAGTCATTTTTCTTTTGGGCCTCTCACAAAACAGGGGAAACTTTATTGTGATGCTAATGAAGATTAATCAAGCTTTAGGGTCCCTCACTTGAACAGGCTCCTTTCAAAGCTCTAGGTAGGGCCTAGCAATGTGTTCACAAGGTCATAGGTTTTCATAAAATTTGAAAAGATAAGATTTTGACCACTTTCAGTTAAAGCCACTCTCTCTACTCCAAAATCTCTTGTTACACTTTCCCTTGGGGCAGGTTGCACTGGGAATTTTAGGGAAATGAAGGTGCTGGGCAGAGATCATATCACAGTATTATCCTACAAAGCCCGATACCAGAAATATGTGGAATTGGAAAACAAACAAGGTTTGAAACAATCAGAGCCAGAAGCTACTCTGTGAAAAATTCTTCCAACCATCAAACATAAAATTATAAGGGGAAATTTTGGTTTTCATTCAAACTTATCAAAACTGAAATTTTCTCCTATATCAGCATCATAATTATAAACATCCAACAGAAAGACTTGGGTTTTTTGATATTCCACTTAATGAAGAGGAGTGAATCACATAAACATATTGGAGAAAATACTTAAATTTTTTTGTAATTTGCTATGAACTAATGATACTGACAATGAATATAAAACTGAGTTTGCCATTTGTAGGAGGCCATTCCACAAACTGGTTTATAAGTGTCTTAATTCAAAGAGTAATCTTTGCACAAGAAGACCTGAAAAACTTTTCTTTCAACATTAATGAAAGAAATTTGATAAAGGTTTTCCCCAAATGTGACAATTCTAAAAATCTATCTGATAGTACTAACATCAAGTTCCGAAGCTCAAAGTAATGCTTCTAAATTACTAATGAGAAAAAAATAAAATTTTAATCAACCATGTTAGAGGAAACACTAATTTATCATTCTGTAGAAAATATTACAAAATCATTGTCATTAAAAGAGGTGATCAAAGAGTTTCGGCCAAAAAAAGTCTAGGGAAAAAATATATAACAGTCTGCAAGGCAGCTGATAAAAACAATGAGTTGCTTTGCTGAACCTGTGATGTCAGATTTTTAAAAGTTATAACTTATGATTTATGTTCTCATTTTAAATATGAAATCCCATAAACAATTTTATGCTTGCAATTTTGAATTGCTTTTATCAAAGAGTACTCCCCTCAAACTGTAAAAGCTTTAGTTCCCACATGATCTGGATCTACTCCTACTCAAATAAATGACAGGAAAGTCTTACCAGAAATTCTGCAACAGGCTTCTCCTCATGTCTCATTATATCCATCTTTTACTCATGTCTCTACCCATTCAGCTGAATGTGCCAAGAGAAAACCTTACCACGGTAAGGACTGGTCTCACTTGAAGTTAATGGCCATTGCCTTAGGTGAACTCTTAATGCTGCCTTGCAATCATATTTCCTGACTCCATTCTTTCTTCTACTCTTCTGGAAAACTCTTTTATACCTTCTGTGATGATTAATTGTATGTGACAACTTGACTGGTCTAAGGTATGTCCAGATAGCTGGTGAAATATTATTTCTGGATGTGTCTGTGAGAGTGTTTCTGGAAGATATTAGCCTTTGAATCATTAGACTGAGTAAAGACCTGCCCTCCCCAGTGTGGGTGGTCATCATGCAACCTGTTGAGTGTCCGAATAGAACACAAAGGTCGTGGAAGGAGGAATTTATTCTTTCACTTTTTGAGCTGAAATGTTCATCTTCTCCTATTCTCAGACATTGGAGCTTTTGGTTCTCAGGCCTTCAGACTCTAGAACTTAAACCAGCAGGCCCCCTGGTTCTCAGGCCTTTGGACTCAGACTAAATTACACCACTGACTTTCTTGGTTCTCCAACCTGCAGATGGCAGATCATGGACTTCTAGACTCCATAACTGCATGAGCCAATTCCCATAATAAATCTCTAAATCTCCTCCCCCCACCACACACATATACTATATAATACATAATATATATATACACACATATATTATTTATATATAGACATTATATATATAGAATTTATATATATATTATATGTAATATATATTATATTTATATAATATATAATATATTTATATATTATATTTATATAATATATAATATATTTATATATTATATATTATATTTATATATATTATATTTAATATAATATATATAAAAATTATTGGTACTATTCTCTGGAGAACCTTGACTAATATACCTTTGTTTCTTTCCTCATACTTTGAACTCTTCCTCCCCCACCTTACTATCAGTTGATGACCTTACTTCCTATTTCAATAAGAAAATAGAAGAAAACTTGAATGAGCTCACACCTACTTGCATTTGCACACAGCCTGCCTTCCCTCCAATTTCTATGAATGTACCGTACAGTACACTTCATCATCCCTCACTTAACCAAGGACTTTGTTCTAATCAATCTCTTTCTTCTCCATCATCAAGTTTTTCTTCTGCAATGGATCATTCTCATGAGCATGTAAATGTGCTGTTATTTCTTTTATCTTGACACAATTAAATGAAATAAACCCCTTGACTCATATTTCCCCTTTAGCTGCCACCTAAGTTCTCTCCTTCTATTTATAGCAAAACACTTGAAAAATCAACCTATGTTCACAGTCTTCAAGTTCTTTTTCTCTAGTTTTCTTTTCCACCCATTCCAATCAGGCTCACCCTGCCTGCAATCCCAAATGATCATGATTTCCATGTGACTAAATCTGGTGCTCATTACTCCATTTTGGTTGGCCCTTCTGTAGCCATTGACACAAATGATCACTCTACCCTCCCTAACACACTTTCTTCATTTGACTTTCATGAAGCCATATTTTTAGGGTTTTCTTCCTACTTTTCTGACTATTCCTTGCCTGTCACCTTTGCTGGTTCTCATCTTCTTCTGCAGATTTCAGCTTAATATCTTATTTCTCATTTCACTTTTCTTTTTTTTTCTCTACAGTAAGTCTCATGATTATATCATCTAGTCTCAAGACTTAGATCATCTATATGCTTATGACTCTCAAATTTATAATTCCAATCTGGACCTCTCCCTTGAACTTTTATAATCAACTGCCTATTTGATATCTCCATCTGTATGTCTAACAGCCATCTCAAACTTAAATGTTCCAAATTCAACTCCTGACCACCCCCCTAACCAGCTTATCCTGCCATCTGTCTAATCCAGTTAACAGCAACTCCATTCTTTCAGTTTCTCAGGAAAAATAATCTTTGTATCTTCCAGGATTTCTCCCTCTTTTGTTTATACTTCATATTCAATTTACCAATAAATTCTATCAGTTGTACCTTAAAAATATATTCAGAATCATACAACTTCTCACCACTTCACTGTCACCATCTCTCACCCTGATTGTGCCTCAAAAATATATCCAGAAACATACAACTTCTCACTAATTCACTGTCACCATCTCTCACCTGGATTATTGCAATAATTAAGCTGCTCTCCCTATTTCTGCCTTAGCTCCTTGCCTGTTCCCCCTACTACAACGTAAACTACATGAGGGCAGATTTTTAAAATTTGCTTTGTTTATTGCTGTATCCCCAGGACATAGAAGTGTATGGTTTATAGAAGGTGCTAGGATTTGAATGTGCCCCTGCAAAATTCATGTGCTGCCAATGTGATAGCATTAAGAGATGTGGCATTTAAGGGGTGATTAGGCCATGAGGGCTCCTCACTTGTGAGTGGGATTAGGTACTCTTTATAAAAAGGCTTGATGGGGGGAGTTTACCCCCTTTACCTTTCTACCTTTTGCCACGTGAAGACATAGCTTTCCTCCCCTCCAGAGGATGCAGCATTCAGGGCACCATCTTGGAAACAGAGACCAGACCCTCACCAGACAACTAAACCTGCTGGTACCTTGATCTTGAACTTTCCGGCATCTAGAACTGTGAGAAATAAATGTCTATTGTTTATAAATCACCCGGTCTGTAATATCTTGTTATAGCAGCACAAACAAAGGCCGAAGGTGTGCAGAACACATCTCTTGCGTGAATGAATGCATTGTCTAGAGTTGGGTCTCATGTCCATTCCTCAACCAACAGTTAGCAAGTAAAATACAGTTACCTGTATACTAAGCATGCCCATTCTTGCAACTATGGCAGCATCAGATTCCTTTAAGACACAGAGTTGAATGGGAGACAGTTAAACACATGAACACAAGCAGTGTCCCATTTAGGCAGGAAGAGGGAATTCACGCTATGTAGTCAGTTAACAGTGTCCACCATGTAGGATGAGGAGATAGGGTAACAGAAAGGATGCTTTAAGTAAAGTGATAAAGTAAAGACCTCTCTGAGTAGAAGACATTTTATCTGAGATCTGAAAGATTAGGATGATAACAAGATCTGGGGAAAAGCTTTCCAAGCTGAAGGAAAAAGTCCATGCAAAGGTCTTAAAGAAGATAAGAGCTTTTTGTGTTTCAAATGCTGAAAAGAAAGCGGTTTGACTAGATCCCAGAAAATAAAAGGGAAGAGTGGGATGGGGTGAACTGGAAGAGGGAGGCTATGCCATCTCCAAGCCTTGAATGCCAAGATCAGTGATGTGAGGAGGTAATAAGAAGCCACTGACAGGGTATATGCAGGGGAATGACATGATTTGTCTTATGCTTGAAAACACTGACTTTATCTGCTGGGTTGAAAATAGGTTGTAGCAGGACTAGATAAGGAGTGCGAAGACCAAGCTACTGACCTGGTCAGAGATGACAGCATCCTCCTCTTCCTGAACCTTTATAATAGCCTCTAACTGGCTTCACTGCTTCCACACTCTTCCCCTTCCACTGTTCTTTGTATTGATACCTTGGCAACTTTTCTAATGTTACTACTTTGATACTCTGCCCAGTACAGTCAAGGCAATTCCCCACTCCCCACTGGCAGAATCAGGTCCAAACTTCTTATATTCCATTTCAAAGGCTGCACACACCTAGACAAAGGGGTACTTTGTCTAATTTGCAGAACAGTATGAAATGGGGGTGGATCTGTTCTCCATATGTTATTGGCTGACTCTAATTCACCGTTTAATCAGCTAAGGCAGCAGCACCTTCCCACAGAACCAGGACCCTCGTATTGCAAGTTATGTGACTAGTGTTCCTCAGAATCATGCAATGTGGTGGTCCTGCCTGAAGTCCCAGGCTGTGCTAGTTGCACCTTGTCTGTCTTCCCACAGGCCTGAATATGCTGAATTATATGAGCCTTCCTACTTGCCTTCCCCCTTTCACTAGAAATTGAATGCCCCTGTGATGTTTTCTCCTCCTCCACCTCCTCCTTCTTCTTCCCTTCTTCATCACCTTTATATCACCAGTATCTTTACCGTGCCTTGCACAAAGTAGGTTGCCAGTATTATTTTTACTTGAACTAGGCTAGATTCCCTGGAGTGTAATGATCGACTCCTCTCTGTGTCCAACATAATAAAGGACCTTGCAAAGAGTAACTGCTCACTAAATGCTCCTTACATTGAACCCATTATTTACTCAAAGGCCTCCTGCAAGCCCTGTTGTTATGAATGTAATGGGGATTTGTGTTACAAAGCACTGAACAAGGTCACGCCCCAAAGCTAAACTTACACTCTTACCCCAGTTGAAAGGAAATGCCTTCTGATTACTCCTCTCTCATCACAAAATCTCTCTAAGTACCCTCCAAAAGCAACTGCTCCTGAGAATCACATTCAAACATGGATCCAATTCCAGCTTTGTGGTATCCAGATCCACATTACGAAAGACACAAATATATGCCTGAAGATATTTTCCAAAAATTTCCACCCTTAGTAACCTCCCCTCCCCTTAGGAGCTAAGAGGTTTTGGTATCCCTCAAAAATGAGAGATTATTTACGGGAGAACACATGTCTACTTACAAGAAAATGCTTCAAAAGTATACACAAAAAACTCAACCCACCAGCCATTTGTAGTATAGATAGAAATCATCAAATACTATACCACTGATTAAGATATTTTTGTGTGTTTTTGTCAACATTTATATATGCGTTTTGATGCTTGGTGTGATAACTTTTTTTTTTTAAGTGTAATTTATCAAATTACGCCCAGGAAAAGAAAGCCATGGCTCGTACTTGTTATGGGTTGAATTGTGCCAAAAATAATTTGTTAAAACCCTAATCCCAAGTACCTCAGGAATGTCATCTTATTTGGAAATAGGGTCATTGTAGATGTAATTAGTTAAGATGAGGTCATACTGGAGTAGAGTGGGCCCTAATCTAATATGGCTGGTATCCTCATGAGAAGACAGAAATTTGGACAAAGACGCAGAGACACACAGTGAGAAGGCCACATGACAATGAAGATAGAGATTGGAGTAATGCAACTACATGCCAAGAAACACCAAGGATTGATGGGCTAAGAGGCAAAGAAGGGTTCTTCTCTAGCGCATTCAGAGGAAGCATGGCTCTACTGATCCCTTTATTTCAGACTCTGGCTTCCAGAATTATGTGAGAATAAATTGCTATTGCTTTAAGCCACCAAGTTTGTGGTACTTTATTACAGTAGCTGCAGGAAACTAATAGAGTTCTTCATGCCATTTTAAAGGAATAAAAAGGAAACAATGACTGAGTAGTACAGCAGTGCATTTGGAAGAATACTGGGTTAAGTCATCAGACGACCTACGTATGATCCTGAACTAGTATTAAGACTCAGTTTCTTCATCTATACAGTGGGAATGTGGACTGGCCAGCTTACCTTATAAGACTGTTGTCTGTTGTAAAGATCAAGTAAAATAATGTGTGGAAGTCATTTGAAATCTGTAACATCAATCCAAATGTGAAATATCATTACTACCATTAAAACTAGTAATTTATTTGATTTAAATAAATCCTCAAATAATATCAGTAAATTTGTTTTTTTTAAAAAAAATAGCATTTAGAAAAGAAAACCTTCAAAATTGAGGAATGTAGGTCTACTGTGAAAGAGAGGAGCCCCAGAGTTCTGATTAAGATGAAGGAAAAATATTTAATTGGTCCCAGGTGTGTGTGCATGTCTGCCTACTAAAATTTTTTTTGTTATTGTTCTTTTGTTAACAATCCAGGATGTAAAAAAATTAAGCCCATCAATTTTTAAAAATATCTGAGATAATTCTTTCAACCCCTTGGCATTGTTAGATGAGAGTAAATTGCTACTACATATAAAAGGTTTCTTTTTTCTATTTTGGTGACATTTTCACAAAGATCTTTGATTTTATAGGGAGTTTTAGTCACTTTTACTATTAAGAAAACATATATCAAAATTGCATTTGTATAAGGTTTCAAGTCTAAATCTATAACACAAAAATAGAAAAGTGAGTCATAATTGGCTAAAGGTACCCCTTAGTTATGGAAAGGGCCCCAAAATGGAAAGGTGAATCATTTTCTTAAATGACAAAGAAAGAAGACAATCTAGCCCATTTTCAATCTCAAGATCTCTTACTTCCACAACCCTACTCAACACACCTGTGCATACAAAAGAGAGGGGGGAAAACACTATAATGTAGGAACTAAAAATACATCGCAACTGCTTCAGGACCTTCAAGCACTCTACCTTCCCCTGTGACTCCGGGAATACTCCTATGTCTGAGGACAAAGAACTTTTAGGGGCTTTCTAAATTTAGTATGTTGTGTAGACTGATAAATGATGACTAGATGTTACCACCAAAACCATAGCTTTGGCTTCCACTATTCAAGGCTATTCAACATTTAAGTAACAACTGGGGTAACAAACAGAGGATATCTGTTTGGATAGAATAAGCATCAAATAAATGTTTGTTGCTGCTGTTGATGCCAAAACTAGAAAAGCAAACATGTCCATTGAGGATGATGATAATGATGATGATGATAACAATGGCTAAAAATTACTGAGGCCCTATGTGATGGTTAATTTTATGTGTCAACTTGACTGGGCCATGGGGTGCCCAGATTGAACTTTATTTCTCAGTATGTCTTCAAGGGCATTTCTGGATAAGATTAGCAGTTAAATACAGGGATTCAGTAATAAAGAGGATTGCTCTCCTCAGTGTGGGTGGGTATAATCCAATCCACTGAGGGTCTGAATAGAACAAAAGGTGGAGGATGGAGGAATTTGCTAGCCCCCCCTTGCATTTTGTTTTCTGTATCACAGCTTGAGCTGAGACATCTCATCTCATCTTCTGCTCTTGGACTAGGAATTATACTATTAGCTCCCATGGTTCTCAAGCCTTTAGGCTCAGACTGGAATTATACTATTAGCTTTCTTGGGTTTTTAACTTGCAGACAGCAGATTGGAGGGCTTTTCATCCTCCATAATCATGTGAACCAATTCTTCATAAGAAATATATATATATATGTATGTATATACACACACTATATATATACATACATATATATATATATTTATATATGCTATTAGTTCTGTTTCTTTGAAGATCTCTGACTAAAACAGCCTATTATGTTTCAGAAACTGCACTAGGCACTTCATGTGCACTTTACATTGACTTTAATTCAATTTAAGAAATTTAACACTCAGGACACCATTGAAGTTTAGAAATGCAAGGTGACTTCCTCAGTGTCACACAAGCCAGGACTCCAGCCCAGGTCTGGGTGGGTCCTAAATCCACTGTGCTCTCAATTAGACAACTTCTGGGTCTGGTTTTGCTTTTTAAAAAGTTTCTTTATAAAAAGATAAAAAAAAAATCCATAGTTTTTTATATGTTTATTTGCTCATGCACATGAAATCATATTGGCTTCATTTTACAGATGAACTAAAGCTCAGAAAGATTAACCAGCCCCACACTACAGACCTAAAAGTGAGGAAGGCAAGGCTATAACTAGATTTGTCTGTCTCCAAAATCTACATTTTTTATTGGCCGATCTCTTTTTAAAAAGGCACAGTAAATTGTTCCGTCCCCTCTCCTCCCCTCCTCTCCCCTCCCCTCCCCTCTTCTACCCTCCCTTCCCTTCATCTCTTCCCTTACCAGAGCAGGGACTCTCTCCACATAAACAAAAGGAAAACCATGGGCCAGGGTATGGTCAATACCTCAACATATCCAGACATCACAGCACCAGAACACCAGTACGTATATTCCACAAGAAATTAAGATACCAGCCAAAGCCTCAGAAAGGCCTTCCCGAGAAGATACATGGGGGCAATGGGTACATCACTGAGGGCCTTAGATCACAACAGAAGATAGTGGAGGTCTTTTCCCATCTTCATTGCGAAGCAGCTGCTCAATGATAAGAGCCATATAGAGTCTTCCAGAAAGAAAGTGGTCCAAAGTAATTAGGAGAGCATCAGATATCAATGTTGGAAACAAAGTTATCAGAAAGAGCATCTGGGAGAAATCATATTATGAGTCATTTGGGATCTATTTTTTTTTGATATTTGACTCAGAAGGAGCCTTTACGTAGTTTCAAGGCTTTGGATTGTCAAAGCACCCTGAACAGCTGGTCACGTTGAACCTTGACTGGCATCTGTGGTGATTCCACACTTGGCATCCCTCTTATGACTCACCACCACTGACTACATTTTTGCCTCAGCCTGTTAGGGCAACTTGTTCTCTAGAGTAGGAGAGTTGAGGGTTTCCAGGTACAATATCGCATGTAACTTCCAGTGAAAATCTTAAACATTTCCTCTGCAGTTATCATTGCCTTAACCAAAACACGATTTTCCCTTAAAATGTCATTGTTTAACATTACTCTTCAGTGAAGGCTGCTCACTTTTCCACAGTACTCACTCCACAGGATAACATATAAGCTATCTCTCTCCCTGCTCCCCAGCATAACTTCCATAAATCTTCTTTAGCAACCCCTCTGTCCCTGAAGCCTATGCCATCTGGTTAGTCTTACTTCTTCTCATCTTCTGCATTATTAAATAAAAAAAAATACTGAGTATCTACTGTGTGCCTTGCACTAGGCTATGTACTTTGCACACATTGTCCTAAATAATCCTCACAATTTCCCCATGAGCTATCTATTATTATCCACGAGGGATCATATACCCTTCCCAAGGTCACACAAATAGCAAGTGGTTGCATGAGCTATGAACTTGGATCTGTCTGGTTCTAAAGGCCATCTTGACTACTAACCTGTGTAGAGAAACAATGACAATCCTGCATGGTAAGGGCAATACTGGGGACATATAAATGGTACAGTGTGGAAACACAGTGACTGGCATGGAGAAGCTGCCTGTAGAACTCAAAAGTCTTCAGAGAAGAGCTGAGGAGCTGAGATATGAAGGGTCATTCCCCAGGAAGAAGGGGAATAAGGCAGAAATGCATTCTATTCATAGGATGCAATAAGTGTTAAGGCCTGAATGTTCACACTGCATTATAATAAATAAGAGTAGTTAGTATGGCTAGGATATTGTATCCATGTGGGTGAGTAGCAAGACACACTGTTTAAAAGGTAGATAAATCAGTCTGGGTCACAAGGAGACCTGGAAACCTTGTGAGGGGGCATAAATGTTTCCAAAAGGCAATGGGCATAAATCCCCTTAAGGGTTTAAAGCAAGTATGAGATTTGTACTTTTGAAAGCTCACTGTGGTAACAGTGTGAGACAAATTTTAGCAGGGAAGCTAGGAGGCAAAAAGGTGTTAGGAGACTGGTCATCCAGGTAAGAGAGGATGGTTGTCTTGTGATGGAAAGAAGGAAACAGATTCAAGAGATAGAAAGAATTTAGTATAATGAATAAGTACAAAATTAATGTACTCAAATCAGTACTTTTCTATATACAAATAGTAGCTGTTTAGATTATATAATGGAAAACAATTCCATCACATTAGCAACACAAAGATAAAAACCCAAAGGATAAACGTTATTAAGTCCTTGGAATTATCATTTTGAATAGTCCTGTAAATAAATATATAAAACTCTATAAAGGGGCTAAAAGAATAATTAACGGAGAAACATACCTTGATTTTAGATAGGAAGACTCAATAGCATAAAGATATTGATTCTCCATGTATTAATCTATAAATTTAACATAATCCAAATTAAAATTCCACCAGGATTTTTTTTGGAGAAACTTGTGTCTAAACAGTTATCTGGAATACAAACATGCAAAACGATATAGCGCAGTGGTTAAAATCATATCCCCTTGAGTCCAAAAGACCATAGTCAAATCCTGATACCCCTCCCCCCATACATGCCTACCACTAGCTTCATGAACTTTAGCAAATTTTGTAACCTCTCAGTTTCCTCATCTGTAAAATGGAGATGATAGCATGTACACTCTAGAGTAGTTGTCAGAATTAAATGAGGAGATATATGTAAATAAAACACAGTGATTTGCATGTGTTAAATAAATATCACTTATTGTTATGACTAATGAATACATTACATTGAACCATATGAAACTGACATTTTTATAGATCAAAAATGGTCACATATTGGCAATTTTATGTGATTCAACCTAATATATGACAAAGATGCAGGGCTCCTCGTATATAAATAGTTCTACAATGTTGAAAAAAACATCCTAATAAGGAAATGATCAAATAAACAAGCAGAACAAATTTTAAATGGCCAATAAGTATACAAAAGTGGTCCTATCACTAACATAAACATATAAATCAAAATAATTATGAGGTATTATTTTGGACTTACATTGGCAATAAGTTATGATAAAATGTTAAGTATTTGCAAGGCTATGTGGTTACAGGTGCACCCAAATCCTATTGGCTTTTGAGGGTGGTGGTTAAAAAACATGGATTTCAAAAGCCAAAGTGCCTGGATTTCAATTCCATCTTTAACATAGAGCTAGCTGTGTGAATTTGGGCAGAAAATCATATTTCTCTTTCCCTGAGTTTCTTAATGTTTAAAGTTCACAGTCTCTGTCTTAAAAGTTTTTGTGAGGATTAAATAAGTTAATTTATGTAAAACCCTTAGAACAGGCTGTGTGTTAAGTGTTATGTAACAGTTAAATGTTATGTAAGTTATTTATTTATTTATTTATTTTTGGCTTTTTAAAAATATTTATTTTAGGTTCGGGGGTACATGTGAAGGTTTGTTACATAGGTAAATTCATGTCATGGGGGGTTGTTGTACAGATCACTTCATCACCCAGGTATTAAGCCGAGTACCCAATAGTTATTTTTTCTTCTCCTTTCCCTCCTCCCACCCTCCACTCTTTGATAGGCCTCAGTGTGTGTGTTGTTCCCCTCTATGTGTCTATGTGTTCTCATCATTTAGTTCCCTCTGATAAGTGAGAACATGTGGTATTTGGTTTTCTGCTCTTGAGTTAGTTTGCTAAGGATGATGGCCTCCAGCTCCATCCGTGTCCCTGCAAAGGACATCATCTCATTCTTTTTTTGTGGCTGCATAGTATTCCATGGTGTATATGTACCACATTTTCTTTATGCAGTCTATGGGTATTGAGGTTGATTCCATGTCTTTGCTATTGCAAATAGTGCTGCAATGAACATTTGCATGCATGTGTTTTTGAGGGAGAATGATTTATATTCCTCTGGGTATATACCCAGTAATGAGATTGCTGGGTTGAATGGTAGTTCTGCTTTTAGCTCTCTAAGCAATTGCCATACTGCTTTCCACAATGGTTGGACTAATTTACACACCCCATCAGCGATGTATAAGTATTCCTTTTCTCCACAACCTTGCCAGCATCTGTTTTTTTTTTTTTTTAACTTTTTAATAATATCCATTTTGACTGGTGCATGATGGTATCTAATTGTGGTTTTGATTTGCATTTCTCTGATGATTTAGTGATGTTGAGTATTTTTTCACATGTTTGTTGGCTCCTTGTATGTCTTCTTTTGAGCAGTGTCTGTTCATGTCTTTCGCCTATTTTAATGGGGTTATTTGCATTTTGTTTGTTGAATTAAGTTCCTTATAGATTCTGGATATTAGACCTTTCTCAGATGCATAGTTTGCAGGTATTTTCTCCTATTCTGTAGGTTGTTTACTCTGTTGATAGTTTTGTTTGCTGTGCAGAGGCTCTTTAGTTTAGTTAGATTCCATTTGTCAATTGTTGTTGTTGCTTTTGGTGTCTTTGTCATGAAATCTTTGCCCATTCCTATGTCCAGGATGGTATTTCCTAGTTTGTCTTCCAGGGAATTTTATAATTTTGGGGTTTATATTTAAGTATTTAATCTAGCTTGAGTTGACTTTTTGGTGTAAGGAAGGGGTCCAGCTTCAATCTTCTGCATACGGTTAGCCAGTTATACCAGCACCATTTATTGAATAGGGAGTCTTTTTTCCCATTGCCTGTTTTTGTCAGCTTTATTGAAGATCAGATGGTCACGTCTTTCTTCATCATCTCCGTATCCAACTGATCAGGTTCTCCCTCTTCGGTGTGGAAACACAAAAAAAATTGCATTCATGTCTTCATTTCCATTATCACCACCATTCAGGCTCTCAATATCTTATCATCATTTCATAACCTCATGATTACCTCCAATTTATCCTGTATCTCCTCTCTCCCCACCATCCATCCTTCCATACCACCACCTACTTTTTCTTACTTAACCTCAAGACAGATCACATCTATCTCCTACCCCAAAATGTGCAACGCCTCCTTAATGCCTACAGAATAAAGCATGGAATTCAAGACAATCTAAATGTCAGTATAAAAATTCATGCCTTTGTGACTTTCCACACGCTGCTCTCTCAGCCTGGGATGCTGTTTCTTCAGTTCTCCATCTCTTGCAATCATACCCTTCCTTAAGTCACAGCTCAAGTGCCACTTCCTCTGTGAAGCCTTGCTTGATCATTTGATCATCAGTTCCATTCCCTGCCCCTACCAAGTCAGATTTATTTTATTCTATGCTCTGAGCTTCCATAGCCCATCTACTGTTCCTATTCATTTACTGCATCCTGTGTGGATTAGTAATTATGATTTACTTGTCTCCCCCACTGGTATGGAAGCTCCTTATGAATAAGAACCATCCATCTTTATTCATTCTTCTTATTTCCCACATGGCACAGAGCTTGCCTTCTAGGAGATCGGTTCAGGCTTATTGAGTCAGAAACTAAACAGGATCATTTAAAGCCATAGACCACATTGAGTAATAAAAAGGATGACTTATCAGTTTTCTGCTTCTGAGAAGATGGAATGCCCCTACTGAAACCCAGCCAAAAGTCCATCTGGGTGTTTTTCTAGTTAGGTCTACTTCCCCCAGGGCTCAGCCACAAGGTGTAGTTGATCGGCTACATATCACCCAAAGTCTCCGTCTCAGACTTGTGTGTGGATAGAGATGTTGTGAATGGTTGAGAAGCAGGTCTTGGATGGCCTTTCAGAAGGATGCATTATTTTGGTGATTTATTGGTTTCTGAGTAAGTTTAAGCCCTAAATACAATGGCATATTAATAAGTTTTATTTATTCAAGAAACTATTTACTTTCTCCATTACCCCTGTCATAAAAGATTATTCTTCCTTACAATTTATCACGTTTCTTTAGTTGGAAGTCATCAAATTAAGGTAATATGTGGCCATTTAGGAAAAGAATCTATACACACAACTAAATCAACTGTTGAGACTGTCATGTCAATCAATAAGATACAGACAAGTGTTTAACACATAGAGTAAGCAAATGTAGATGTGGGGTAGTGAAAAGAAGATGAAGTTCAGGATCAAAGATATATGAGTTTGATTCCTGGCTCCACCACTTCTAGCCGTATGACCTTGGATCAGTCACTTAGGCTCTTGAGTCCTGGTCTTTCTCTCATCTGTAAAATGAAGAAAGACAAATGGTTCCCTTGCAAGCATGTAATGATGAGTAAATGCAATAAGGCTCATAGAAGTGGTTCATGAGGCCCTCTGCAAAACTTAGTTATCATTATTTTTCAAGTAAAAAGGCATTTATAGATGAGTTAATGTGACATTCTCCTTTTGCCCATGAGGATACTTAGGCTTAGAGAAGGGAAGCGGTCCCACAGCTAGTTAGTGGTCGAGATCAGTTTAGAATCCAATTTTCTGGCCTCCTACCTTCTTGCCATTATATCATACTTCCTTATAGACAAGGGAAGCAAAGTAGCTAACTGCTTCCCAGAACTTAGGACAAAATGGACTAGTTCCGATGAGGTGTTGACACCATGACTCATCTTGGAGGCAAATGTAATTTTCTTAGTACATGCTCTTTTCTTCCCTAAGATCGCTTTTCTAGACTTCCATGAGAACACATTTATCCTACTGAGTCACTCCTGCCTTGCAGCTCACTGAGTCAGAATCTTATCTGTCCACATCAGAGGTTCAATTTTTTGTCAGGAATAAGATGAAATGAAAAAGAGACACAGATGCACAGAGAGGCCATCACTTTTCTATCCTTGGGGCATAAAGTAATTTGAATAGAAGAGCACTAAAGAGGGACACAATCACTAATTTTATTGCAGTATTAGTGCCTGCTGTGGAAATAAATTGGTAAAACAAACGTAAATAGTGTCATCTGGGGGTATATAGTAGTCAATCACTAGTATTTGTAAGGTGCAGTAGAGAGTAAGGGTATCTGATGGGAGGAGAGATAACCTAGGTTCTGGTATTCATCCTACTAGCAGTGTGACCTTAGACATGTCTCTTAGCCTCAAAGAACCATAGATATGGATGCTAGTTTTGCCAGCTTCCCAGGACTGAGTAAGTTTTAAATGCAACACATGATACATGTGTGGGGATTCAAGGAGATAAGGAATCAAAAGCCCCTAGTCAGTGCCAGACACAGTCGGTTTAGCTCAATAAATATTAGCAACTAGTGTTATTATTGTTATTGTTATGACTGTCATTGTTTAGCAGCTCTAT
Source organism: Homo sapiens (assembly GCF_000001405.40). Lineage (NCBI taxonomy): Eukaryota > Metazoa > Chordata > Mammalia > Primates > Hominidae > Homo > Homo sapiens. The sequence goes on along the minus strand of NC_000023.11, from coordinate 148,416,458 downwards.
CTTATATAACTACTTCCCCATAGTAACTACCAATAAAGGTTTTAAACAGTATGAGACCACACATAAGTAAGAGGTGGAAGTGAAACAAGAAGAAAGGGAAGGCAAAGTTCAGAAGCCGCAAGGGATGATGGCAAAGAGCTTGGGCTCCAGGGAACTTGGATCTGAGGTAGAAGCCAGGCTCCATATTCTAATTTGAAGGTGCATCAGCAGGCACAAGGTACTGACTCAATCCAAGCCTCAGGCTGCTCATCCACAAGCTGAGATCATAGGCCCTTCTGTATGAAGCTCTTGTGAAGGCTAAATGAGCTAGACTGTAGAACGTGTCAAATGCCTAGCACAGAGGAACTGTTGGGTAACTTGTTGAAGCAAAAGGATATACATCAAAGAACACTACAAACTCTAAAGTGATATAAACATGTAAGAAATTATTATAACAAGGACAAAATTCTATGCAAAACACTAACGCTTAGCTAATTGCTTAAGTATTATGGGAAAATTCATTATACTGTCCAAATGTAAAACATGCTCATTTACAGCAGTTTCCCCTACAGCTGTGCCAGTGGTGAGGTAGAGAATATTTGAAGATTTATTTTAAACACAGCTGCTTTATGTATTATTGTCAATTTTCTCCATTTTCTTCAGTTTGAACCTTTGAACTCCATCTTTTATGTTTCTAAAATGGTCAGAACAGTAGACATTTGATGAAGGTAACTCACAAATGCGCAAGTGAACACTCCAAAGTGAGATAGAATCCATATGAATTCCTTTTCTCTAAAAGTCCATGGTTTGTCCCAGATAATTGCTCTAAAATCATTAGCCTTAATTTATGGAATATTGCAGAAAAGAAAGATAATTTGCCTTCAGAACTTATTTGGGGATATCTTTTTACAAACGGCTACTGCTGTAACTAAGTTTCCTGATAATTAATATTTGGGGAGAAATACAGTGTTATAGATAACTATTTTAATAGTTGTAATATTGTAAAACTGAGATCTCAGTGAATTGTACATATATACATATGCAAACACACACATACATATTCAGCACAAACATACACATACATACATAAACAGTATATATACATACATGTATACAGAATATCTATATACTTCATATATACATACATATATACTGTATATATGTATGTGCATGTTTGCATATGTATATATGTACACCCATGTTTTAACTATATGCTGACATGCATATATAGTTAAAACCCGAATGAGTTAAAGGTATCTTTGGTAGCTCTTTGGGGTTCAACCTTATTGCAAAGCTTGGAATTTAAGAATTTATAATTAAATGCACCTAGAAGATCATATTAGTCTGAACTTCTATTGAAACTAGAAACTCCCTCTACAGTCTCTCGAGCAGATTCCCCTACAGTACCTTCCAGTCACAAAGCAGCCTGTCCCAGCTTCATTTTGAGAAATGACTATCTTATGCAGAGCTCCAGCATTTC